>NC_000012.12:34414016-34566711 GCF_000001405.40 Homo sapiens
CAGAAAACTTCTTTCTTCTTTTTATCTGAAGATATCTTCTTTTTCACCATAGGCCTGAATGCGCTCTGAAATATCCCTTTGCACATTCTTCAAAAACTGTGTTTCCAATGTGCTGATTCAAATGAAAGGTTTAATTGAGTTGAATGCATATATCAGAAAGCAGTTTCTCAGAAAGCTTCTTTCTTGTTTTTATCTGAAGGTACTTTCTTTTTCACTGTAGGCCTGAATGCACTCCCAAATATCCCTTTGCAGATTCTACAAAAACACTGTTTCCAAAATGCTGAATCAAACGAAAGGTTTAACTCTGTGGTTGAATGGAGACAACACAAAGCAGTTTCTCATAAAGCTTCTTTCTAGATTTTCTGTGAAGATATTTTATTTTTCACTGTAGGGCTGAATGAGCTCCCAAATATTCCTTCACAGATTCTACAAAAGACTGTTTCCAAACTGCTGAATCAAAAGAAAGGTTTGACTCTGTGAGGTGAATGGAGACAGCACAAAACAGTTTCTCATAAAACTTCTTTCTATGTTTTCTGTGAAGATACTTTCTTTTTCACTGTAGGCCTCAATGCACTCCCAAATATCCCTTCACAAACACTAAATTAGCAGTGTTTCCAAACTGCTGAATCAAAAGAAAGGTTTAACTCTGTGAGATGAATGAACACATCACAAAGCAGTTTCTGAGAAAATTTCTTTCTAGTTTTTATCTGGAGATATTTTCTCTTTCACCATGTGCTTTAACGTACTCAGTAATATCCCTTCTCAGTTTCTATAAAACCAGTGTTTCCAAATTGTTGAATCAAAGGAATCAAAGGACGTTTTATCTCTGTGGGATGAATGCACACATCACAAAGCAGTTACTCAGAAAGCTTCTTTCTCATTTTTATCTGAAGACATTTTATTTTTCACCAGAAGCCTCAATGCACTCCCAAATATATCTATGCAGATTCTACAAAAACATTGTTTCCAACTGCTGAATCAACAGAGAGGTTTAACCCTGTGAGATGAATGAACAGATCACAAAGCAGTTTCTCAGAAAGATTCTTTCCAGGATTTATCTGAAGATATTTTCTTTTTCACCATAAGCCTCAAAGTGCTCCCAAATATGACTTTGCAGATTCTACAAACACGGTGTTTCCAAACTGTTGAATCAAAAGAAAAGTTTAACTCTACGAGATGAATGCACACATCACAAAGCAGTTTCTCAGATAACTTCTTTCTAGTTTGTTTCTGAAGATGTTTTCTTTTTGACCATAGGCTCCAATGCCTTTGGAAATATACCTATGCAGATTCTACAAAAGCAGTGTATCCAAACTCCTGAATCAAAAGAAAGGTTTAACTCTGTGAGGTGAATGTGCACATCTCAAGGCAGTTTCTCAGAAAGCTTCTTCATAGTTTTTATCTGAAGGTATTTCCTTTTTCACCAAAGGCCTGAATGCATGCTGAAGTTTGCATTCACACATTGTAGAAAACAGTCTTTCTAAACTGCTGAATCAAAAGAATGGTTTAACTCTGTGAGATTAATGCACACATCACAAAGCTGTTTCTCAGAACGTTTCTTTCTCGTTTTTATCTGAAGATATTTTCTTTTTTCCCATAGGCCTCTATGCGCTCAGACATATCCCTTCACGGTTTCTTAAAAAAACAGTGTTTCCAAATAGCCAAATCAAAAGAAAGGTTTAACTCTGTGAGATGAATGCACACATCACAAAGCTGTTTCTCAGAAAGCCTCTTTCTAGTTTTTATATGAAGATATTTTCTTTTTCAACATATGCCTCACTGCACCCCAAAATATCCCTTCTCAGATTCTACAAAAACCATGTTTCCAAACTGTGGAATCAAAAATTAGGTTTAACCTTGTGACATGAATGCCAAGATCACATAGCAGTTTCTAAGGACGATTCTTTCTAGTATTTATCTGAAGATATTTTCTTTTTCACCATAAGCCTCCATGCACTCCCAAATGTCCCCTCACAGATTCTACAAAAACCATGTTTCCATACTGCTGAATCAATAGAAAGGTTTAACTCTGTGAGATGAATGCACATATCACAAAGCAGTTTCTGAGAAAGCTTCTTTGTAGTTTTTATCTGAAGATATTTTCATTTTTACCATAAACTTCAGTGTGTTCCCAGATATCCATCCACAGATTGTACAAAAACAGTCTTTACAAACTGCTCAATCAAAAGAAAGGTTTACCTCCATGAGATGAATGCACAAATCACAAAGCAGTTTCTCAGAAACTTCTTTCTAGTTTTTATCTAAACATATTTCCTTTTTTACCATAGGCCTCAATGCACTCCTAAATATCCCTTTGTATATTCTACAAAAACAGTGTTTCCAATCTGCTCACTCAAAAGAAAGATTTAAGAATGTGAGATGAATGGACACATCACAAAACAGTGTCTCAGAAAGCTACTTTCTAGTTTTTATCTGAAGATATTTTCATTTCTCATCATAGGCCACAATGCACTCCCAAGTATCCCTTCGCAGATTCTACAAAAACAGTGTTTCCAAGCTGTTCAATCCAAAGAAAAGTTTAAATCTGTGAGATGAATGCACACATCACAAAGCAATAACTCAGAAAGCTTCTTTCTAGTTTTTTATCTGAAGATATTTCCTTTTTCACCATAGGCCTCAGGATGCTCCCAAATATCCTTTTGCAGATTCTATAAAAACAGTTTCTAAGCTGCACAATCAAAACAAGATATTCCCTTTATCCCCAAAGGCCTCAGTGAGCTCCTAAATATCCTTCCTCAGATTCTACAGAACAGTATTTCCATACTTCTCAATTGAAAGAAAAGTTTAACTCTGTTAGATAAATGCACACATCAGAAAGCAGTCTCTCAGAAATCTTATTTCAAGTGTTTATCTACAGATATTTCCTTTTTACCACAGACCTCAGTGCACTCCCAAATATCACTTTACAGATTCTAGAAAAACAGTGTTCCCAAACTGCTTAATCAAAAGAAAATTTTAACTCTGTGAGATGAATGCACACACCACAAAGCAGTGTTTCAGAAAGCTTCTTTCTAGTTTTTATCTGAAGATATTTCCTTTTTTGCCATATTCCTCAATGTGCTCCCAAATATGCTTTTGGAGATTCTACAAAAACACTGTTTCCAAACTGCTCAATTGAAAGAAAGGTTTAACTCTGTTAGATGAATGCAGACATCACAGAGTGATTTCTCAGAAATCTTCTTTCTAGTTTTTATCAAAAGATATTTACTTTTTCACCATAGACCTCAATGCACTCCCAAATATGGCTTTGTGGATTCTACAGAAACAATGTTTCTAAACTGCTCAATCAAAAGAAAAATTTAACTCTGTGAGATGAATGCACAGATCAGAAATTAGTGTCTCAGAAAGCTTCTTTCTAGCTTTTATCTGAAGATAGTTCCTTTTTCACTGTAGGCCCAAATAGCCCTTCGCAGATTCTACAAAAGCAGTGTTTCCAAACTTCTCAATAAAAAGAAAGGTTTAACTCTGTGACATGGATGCACACATCACAAAGCAGTATCTCAGAAAGCTTCTTTCTAGTGTTTATCTGAAGATAATTTCTTTTTCATCATAGACCTCAATGTACTCCAAAATATCACTTTGCAGATCTACAAAAACAGTGTTTCCAAACTGCTCAATCAAATGAAAGTTTTAACTCTGTGAGATGAAAGCACATATCACAAAGCAGTGTGTCAGATATATTCTTTCTTGTTTTTATCTGAAGATATTCCCTTTTTCACCATGGGCCATGATGCACTCTCAATATCCTTTCATAGAATCAAGAAAAACAGGGTTTCCCAACTGCTAACTCAAGGGAAGGCTTTAAACCAGTGATATGAATGCACACATCATGAAGTAGTTTCTCAGAAAGCTTCTTTCTAGTTTTTATATGAAGATATTTCCTTTCTCACCATAGGCCTCAGGATGCTCTCAAACATACCTTCACAGATTCTTAAAAACATTGCTTCCAAACTGCTCAATTAAAAGAAAACTTTAACTCTGTGAGATGAATGCACACATCACAAAGTAGTTTCTCAGAAAGCATCTTGCTAGTTTTATCTGAAAATATTTTGCTTTTTACCATAGGCCTCAATGTGTTCCCAAATATTCCTTCACAGATTCTAGAAAAACAATGTTTCTAAGCTGCTCAATGAAAATAAAACTTTACCTCTGTAAGATGAATGCACACATCACAAAGCAGAGTCTCAGATAACTTCTTTCTAGTTTTTATCTGAAGATATTCCCTTTTTCACCATAGGCCTCAATTAACTCCCAAATATCCCTTCAGAGATTCTATAAAAAGAGTGTTTCCAAACTGCTCAATCAAAACAAAGGTTTATCACTCTGAGATGAATTCACATGTCACAAAGCAGTGTCTCAGAAAGCTTCTTTCTAAATTTTATCAGAAGATATTTCCTTTTTTACCATAGGCCTCAATGCATTAATTAACATCCTTTTGCAGATTATCCAAAAAGAGTTTTTCCAAACTGATCAATCAAAGAGAGCTTTAACTCCGTGAACTGAAAGCACATATCACAAAGCTGCTTCTTAGAAAGTTTCTTTCTATTTTTTATCTGAAGAAATTTCCTTTTTCACTATAGGCCTCAATGCCCTCGCAAATATCCCTTTGCAGTTTCTACAAAAACAGTGTTTCCAAGCTGCTCAATTGAAAGAAAGAGTAACTCTATGAGATTAATGCACACTTCACAAATCAGTTTCTCAGAAAGCTTCTTTCTAGTTATCTGAAGATATTTCCTTTTTCACCGTAGACCTCAGTGCACTCTCAAATATTGCTTTGCAGATTCTACAAAAACAGTGTTTCCAGACGGCTCAATGAACAGAAATTTTTAACTCTGTGAGATGAATGCACACATCACAAAGCAGTCTCTCAGAAAGCTTCTTTCTAGTTCTTATCTGAAGATATTACTTTTTCACCATAGACTTCAATGCACTCCCAAATGTCCCTTTGCAGATTCTACAAAAACAGATTTTGCAAACTGTTGAATCAATAGAAAGTTTAACTCTGTGAGATAAACCCACACATCACAAAGCAGCTTATCAAAAAGCTTTTTTCTAGCTTTTATCTAAAGATATTTCCTTTTTCACCATAGGCCTCAATGCCTTCACAAATAGCCACTTGAAAATTATACAAAAACAGTGTTTCCAAACTGCCTAATCAAAAGAAAGTTTAACTCTGTAAGATGAATGCACACATCACAAAACAGTTTCTCAGAAAGCTTCTTTCTAGTTATCTGAAGATATTTCCGTTTTCACCATAGGCCTCAATGCTCTCCCATATATCCCATCGCAGATTCTACAAAGACAGTGTTTCCAAACTGCTCAATCAAAAGAAAAGATGAATGCACACATCACAAAGCAGTGTCTCAGAAAGCTTCTTTCTAAATTTTATCAGAAGATGTTTCCTTTTTCACCATAGACCTCAATGCAATCACTTATATCCTTTCACAGATTATACAAAAACAGTGTTTCCAAACTGCTCAATCAATGAAAGCTTTAACTCTGTGAGCTGAATGCACACATCCCAAAGCAGTTTCTCTGAAAGCTTCTTTGTAGTTTTTTTCTGAAGATATTTCCTTTTTCACCATAGGATTCAGAGCATTCCCAAATTTCCCTTTGCAGATTCTTCCATAAGAGTGTTTCCAAACTGCTCTATCAAAACGAAGTTTTACCTCTGTGAGATGAATGCACACACCACAAAGCAGATTCTCAAAAAGCTTCTTTGTAGTTTTTATCTGAAGATATTTCCTTTTTCACCAGAGGCCTCAATGTGCTCCCAAATATCCTTTCAAAGATTCTACAAAAACAGTGTTTCCTAACTGCTCAATCAAAAAAAAGCTTTAGCTCTTTGACCTGAAAGCAAACATCACAAAGCAGTTTCTCAGAAAGATTCTTACTAGTTTTTATCTGAAGATATTTCCTTTTTCACCATAAGGCCTCAATGCACTCCAAAATATCCCTTCACACATTCTACATAAACAGTGTTTCAAAAATGCTCAATCAAAAGAAAGATTCAACTCTATGAGGTGAATGCACACATCAGAAAGCAATTTCTCAGAATGCTTCTTTCTAGTTTTTATCTGAAGATATTTCCCTTTTCACCATAGGCCTTGAAGCTCTTCCAAATATCCTTTCACAAATTCTAGAAACACAGGGTTTGCAAACTGCTGAATGAAAAGAAACCTTTAATTCTGTGAGATGAATTCAGACATCACAAAGCAGTTTCTTACAAATCTTCTTTCTGGTTTTTAAATGAAGATATTTCCTTTTTAACATAGGCCTCATTGCTCTCCCAAATATCCTTTCACAGATTCTACAAAAATCGGGTTTCCAAACTGCTCAACCAAAAGAAAGCTTTATCTCTGTGAGCTGAATGCTCACATTAAAAAACAGTTTCTCCAAAATTTTCTATGTAGTTTTTATCTGAAGATATTTTCTTTTTCAGCATGGGCCTAAATTCACTCCCAAATATCCCTTTGCAGATTCTACAAAAGCAGTGTTTCCAAACTGCTCAATGAAAACAAAGTCTTGCCTCTGTGAGATGAATTCACCAATCACAAAGCAGTTTCTCAGAAAGCTTCTTTCTAGTTTTTATCTGAAGATATTTCTTTTTACACTATTGGTCCCAATGTGCTCCTAAGTATTCCTTTGCAGATTTTACAAAAACGGTGATTGCAAACTGCCCAATATAAAGAATGGTTTAACTCTGTGAGATGAATGCACACATCACAAAGCAGGTTCTCAGAGATGTACTTTCTAGTTTTTTGTCTGAAGATAATTTGTTCTTACCATAGGCCTCAAAGTGCTCCCAAATATCCTGTCGCAGATTCTATACAAACAGTGTTTCCAAACTGCTCAATCAAAAGATATGTTTAATTCTGTGAGATGAATGCATACATCCCAAAGCAGTTCCCCAGAAACCTTCTTCTATTTTTATGTGAATATATTTCCTTTTTCACCATAGACCTCAATCTGCTCTGAAATATCCCTTTGCAGGTTCTACAAAAAACAGTGTTTCTAAACAGCTCAATAAAAAGAATGGTTTTACTGCGTGAGATGAATGCACACATCACAAAGCAGATTCTGAGAAATCTTCTTTCTGGTTTTTAGCTGAAGATAGATCTTTTTTCACCACAGGCCTCAATGGATCCAAAATATCCCCCACAGATTCTACAAAAACAGTGTTTCCAGACTGCTCAATCAAAAGAAAAGTTTAACTCTGCAAGATGAATGCCCACATCACAAAGCTGTTTCTCTGAAAGCTTCTTTTAGTTTTTATCTGCAGATATTTCCTTTTACACCATAGGCCTCAATGCACTCCCAAATATCCTTTTGCAGTTTCTTCAAAAACAGTGCTTCCAAGCTACTCAATCAAAAGAAAGTTTTACTCTGTGAGATGAATGCACACACCACAATGCAGTGCCTCAGACAGCTACTTTCTAGTTTTCATATGTAAAAATATCTTTCTTCAACCTAGGCTTCAATATACTTCAAAATATCCTCTCACAGATTTTACAAAAACAGTGTTTCCAAACTGCTTAATCAAATGATATGTTTAACTCAGTGAGATGAATGCACACATCACAAAGAAGTTTCTCAGAAAGCTTCTTTCTAGTTTTTATCTGAAGATATTTCCTTTTTCACCATAGGCCTCAAAGCAGTCCCAAATATCCCTTCACAGATTCTACAAAAACAGTGTTTCCAAACTGCTGAATCAAAAGAAAGGTTTAACTCTGTGACATGAATGCACACTTCCCAAAGCAGTGTCTCAGAAAGCTTCTTTCTAGTTTTTATCTGAAGATATTTTCTTTTTAACCATAGAACTCAATGTGCTCTCAAATATCCCTTTGCAGAGTCTACAAAAATCGTGTTTCCAAACTGCTCAATCAAAAGAAACTTTTAACTCTGTGAGTTGAATGCACCCTTCACAAAGCAGTTCCTCAAAAAGCTTCTTTCTAGTTATTTGAAGATATTTCTTTTTTCACAATAGGTTGCAATGTGTGCCAAAATATCACTTCACAGATTCTACAAAAATGGTTTCTCCAAATTGTTCAATCAAAAGTTTAACTCTGTGAGGTCAATGCACACATCACAAAGCAGTTTCTCAGAGAGAGTCTTTCTAATTTTTATCTGAGGATATTTCCTTTTAAAGCATAGTTCTCAAAGCATTCTCAAACATCCCTTCATAGATTCTACAAAAACAGTGTTTCCAAACTGTTCAATCAAAAGAAAGATTTAACACTGTGACAGGAATGCACACATCACAAAGTAGTGTCTCAGAAAGCTTCTTTCTAGTTTTTATCTGAAGATAGTTCCTTTTTCACCATAGGCCTCAATGTGCTCCCAAATATCTCTTTGCAGATTCTGCAAAAACAGTGTATTCAAACTGTTCCATCAAAGGAAAGTTTTAACTCTGTGAGCAGAATGTATGCATCACAAAGCAGTTTCTCAGAAAGCTTCTTTCTAGTTTTTATTTGAAGATGTTTCCTTTTTCACCATAGGCCTCAATGCACTCCAAAATATCCCTTCACAGATTCTTCAAAAAGAGTGTTTCCAAAGCACTCGATTGGAAGAAAGTTTTAACACTGTGAGATGAATGCACACATCACAATGCAGTTTCTCAGAAAGTTTATTTCTAGTTTTATCTGCACCTATTTCCATTTTCACATTAGGCCTCAATGCACTCTGAAATATCCCTTTGCAGATTCTACAAAAACAGTGTTTCCCACCTGTTCTATCAAAGGATGATTTAACTCTGTGAGATGAATGCACCCATCACAAAGCTGTGTGTCAGTAAGCTTCTCTATAGTTTTTATCTGAAGATATTTCCTTTTTTTACCATAAGCTTCAATGCGCTCCCAAATATCCTTTTGCAGATTCTTCAAAAACAGTGTTTCCAAACTGCTCAATCAAAAGAAAGCTTTAACTCTGATAGCTGAATGCAAAAATCACAAAGCGGTTTCTCAGAAAGCTTATTTCTAGTTTTTATCTGAAGATATTTCCTTTTTCACCATAGACCTACACTTGCTCCCAAAATACTGCTTCGTAGATTCTACAAAAAGAGTTTTTCCAAGTTGCTCAATCAAAACAAAGCTTTAACTCCGTGAGATGAAGGTACACATCACAAAGTAGCTTCTAACAAAGCTTTTTTCTAGTTTCTATCTGAAGATATTTCCTTTTTCACCATATGTCTCAATGAGATCTCAAATATCCCTGTGCAGATTTGACAAAAACAGTGTTTCTAAACTACTCAATCAAAAGAAAGCTTTAACTGTGTGAGATGAATGCACACGTGACAAAGCTGTTTCTCAGAAAGTTTCTTTCTACTTTTTATCTGAAGATATGTCCTTTTTCACCATAGGCCTCAATACCCTCCCAAGTATCCCTTTGCAGATTCTACAAAAAGCAATGTTTCCAAAACTGCTCAATCAAATGATATGTTTAACTTTGTGATATGAATGTAACATCAAAATGTGGTTTCTCAAAAAGCTTTTTTCTAGTTTTAATCTGAAGATATTTCCATTTCCACCATAGACCTCAATGTGCTCCCAAATATACCTTCTCAGTTTCTACAAAAATCATGTTTCCAAACTGCTCAATTGAAAGAAAGCTTTATCTCAGTGAGATGAAAGCATGCATCCCAATGTAGTGACTCAGAAAGCTCTTTCTACTTTTTATCTGAAGCTATTTCCTTTTTCACCAAATGCCAGAATGGGCTCCAAAATATCCCCTCGCAGATTTAGGAAAACAGTGTTTCTGAACTGCTCAAACAAAAGAATGGTTTAACTCTGTGAGATGAGATGAATGTAAGCATCACACAGCAGTTTTTAAACTGTTCAATAAAAAGAATGGTTTAACTCTGTGATATGAATGCACAATCAGAAAGCGGTGTCTCAGAGAGTTTCTTTCTACTTTTAATCTGAAGATATTTCCTTTTTTACCATAGGCCTCAAGGCACTCTCAAATATCCCTTCTCACATTCTAAGAAAGCAGTGTTTCTAAACTGCTCATTAAAAAGAATGGTTTAACTGTGAGATGAATGTACACATCACAAAACAGGTTCTCAGAATGCTTCTTTCTAGTTTTTATCTGAAGTTATTTCCTTTTTCACCATAGGCCTCAATGAGCTCCCAAAAATCCCATTGCAGATTCCACAAAAACAGTGTTTCCAAACTCCACAATCAAAATAAATGTTTAACTCTGTGAGATGAATGCACACATAACCAAGCAGCTTCTCAGAAAAGTTCTTTCTAGTTAATATCTCAAGATATTTACTTTTTCACCATAGGCCTCAATGCCCTCCCAAATATCAATTCAGAGATTCTACATAAACAGTGTTTCCAAACTGCTCAATGAAAAGAAAGTTTAACTCTGTGAAATGAATTCAAGATCACAAAGCAGTTTCTCAGAAAGCTTCTTTCCGGTTTTTATGTGATGATATTTCCTTTTTCACCATTGGCCTCAGCATGCTCTCATATATCCCTCTTCAGATTCTACAAAAACAGTGTTTCCAAACTGTTCAATCAAAAGAAAGATTTAACCCTATGAGACGAATTCACACATCACAAAGCAGTGTCTCAGAAAGCTTCTTTCTAGTTTTCATATGAAGATATTTCCTTCTCACTATAGGCCTCAATGCACTCCCAAATATCCCTTTGCAGACTCTACAAAAACAGTGTATCCAAACTTTTCAATCAAAAGAAAGGTTTATCTCTGTGAGATGAATGCACACATCACAAAGTAGAGTCTCAGATAACTTCTTTCTAGTTTTTATCTGAAGATATTTCCTTTTTCACCACAGGCTCCAAAGCATTCCCAAGTATACCTTTGCAGTTTCTACAAAAATGGCTTTTCTAAACTGTTCAATAAAAAGAAAGGTATACCTCTGTGACATGAATGCATGCATCACAAAGCAGTTTCTCATATAGCTTCTTTCTAGTTTTTATCTGAATTATTTCCTTTTTCACCATTGGTATCAATGTGCTCCCATATATCCCTTCACGGATTCTACAAAAACAGTGTTTCTAAACTGTTCAACCAAAAGAAAGTTTTAACTCCGTGAGATGAATACACACATCAAAAAGCAGTGTCTCAGACAGCTTTTTTCTAGTTATTATCTGAAGATATTTCCTTTTTCACCATAGGCCTCTATAGGCTCCAAAATATCCTTTGGAAGATTCTACAAAAACACTGTTTCCAACTGCTCAATCAAAAGAAAGCTTTAACCTGTGAGGTGAATGCACATACCACAAAGCAGTTTCTCAGAAAGCTTGTTTCTAGTTTTTATCTGAAAATATTTCCATTTTCACCATAGGCCCCGAAGTGCTCCTAAATGTCCATTCGCAGATTCTACAAAAACAATGTTTCTAAACTGCTCAATTGAAAGAAATGTTTAACTCTGTGGGATGAATGCACACATCACAAAGCAGTTTCTCAGAAAGCTTCTTTTTAGTTTTTTTCTACCTTTTAAAAATTTTATTATTATTATACTTTAAGGATTAAGGTACATGTGCACAACATGTGCCATGTTGGTGTGCTGCACCCATTAACTCATCATTTAACATTAGGTATATCTCCTAATGCTATCCCTCCACCCTCCTCCCACCCAACAACAGTCCCCAGTGTGTGATGTTCCCCTTCCTGTGTCCATGTGTTCTCACTGTTGAATTCCCACCTATGAATGAGAACATGCAATGTGTGGTTTTTTGTCCTTGTGATAGTTTGCTGAGAATGATGGTTTCCAGTTTCATCCATGTCCCTACGAAGGACATGAACTCATCATTTTTTATGGCTGCACAGTATTCCATGGTGTATATGTGCCACATTTTCTTAATCCAGTCTATCGTTGTTGGACATTTGGGTTGGTTCCAAGTCTTTGCTACTGTGAATAGTGCCGCTATAAACATACCTGTGCATGTGTCTTTATAGCAGCATGATTTATAATCCTTTGGGTATATATCCAGTAATGGGATGGCTGGGTCAAATGGTATTTCTAGTTCTAGATCCCTGTGGAATTGCCACACTGACTTCCACAATGGTTGAACTAGTTTACAGTCCCACCAACAGTGTAAAAGTGTTCCATTTCTCCACATGCTCTCCAGCACCTGTTGTTTCCTGACTTTTTAATGATCACCATTCTAAGTGGTGTGAGATGGTATCTCATTGTGGTTTTGATTTGCATTTCTCTGATGGCCAATGATGATGAGCATTTTTTCATGTGTTTTTCGCTGCATAAATGTCTTCTTTTGAGAAGTGTCTGTTCATATCTTTTGCCCACTTTTTGATGAGGTTGTTTGTTTTTTTCTTGTAACTTTTTTTGAGTTCATTGTAGATTCTAGATATTATCCCTTTGTCAGATGAGTAGCTTCTTTTTAGTTTTTATCTGAAGATATTTCTGTTTTCACCATAGGCCTCAATGCACTCCAAAATATCCCTTTGCTGATTCTACAAAAACAGTGTTTACAAACTAGTCAATGAAAAGAAAGGTTTACCTCTGTCAGGTGAGTGCACACATCACAAAGCAGTTTCTCAGGAAGCTTCTTTCTAATTTTTATCTTAAGGTATATCACTTTTCACTATAGATCTCAATACACTCCCAAATATCCCTTCTCTGATTCTACAAAAACAGTGTTTACAGGCTACTGAATCAAAAGAAAGTTTACCTCTGTGAGATGAATGAACACATCAAAAAGCTGTTTCTCAGAAATCTTCTTTCTAGTTTTTATCTGAAGATATTTCCTTTTTTCACCATAGGCCTCAATGCACTCTGAAATATCCCTTTGCTGATTCTAGAAAAACAGTGTTTCCAAACTGCTCAATCAAAAGAAAGATTTAACTCTATGAGCTGAATGCGACCATGACAAAGCAGTTTCTCAGAAAGCATCTTTCTTCTTTTCAATCTGATGATATTTCCTTTTTCACCATGGGCTCAAGGTGCTCCCAAATATCCCTTCACAGATTTAGAAAAACAGTGTTTGTGAACTGATCAATCAAAAGAATGGTTTAACTCTGTGAGTTGACTCCACACATCACAAAGCAGTTTCTCAGAATGCTTCTTTCTAGTTTTTATCTATGGATATTTCTTTTTTCACCATAGGCCTCAACGTGCTCCCAAATATCGTTTCACAGATTTTACAAAAATAGTGTTTATAAACTGCTAAATAAAAGAAAGTTTTAACTCTGTGAGTTGAATGCATACATTATAAAGCAGTGTCTCAGAAAGCTTCTTTCTAATTTTCATCTGAAGGTGTTTCCTTTTTCACCATAGGCCTTAATGCAGTCAAAAATATCCCTTTGCAGACTCTAGATAAACAGAGTTTCCAAGCTACTCAATCAAAAGAAAGGTTTAACTCTGTGAGATAAATGCACACATCACAAATGGGTATTCAGAAAGCTTCTTTCTAGTTTATATCTGAAGTTATTTCCTTTTACATCACAGGCCACAATGTGCTCCCAAATATCACTTTGCAGATTCTACAAAAACAATGTTTCCAAACTGCTCAATCTAAAGTAATGTTTAACTCTGTGGGATGAATGGACATATCACAAAGCAGTTTCTCAGAAAACTTCTTTCAAGTTTTGCTCTGAAGATATTTCTTTTTTCAGCATAGACCAAAATGCACTCCCAAATGTCTCTTCACAGATTCTATAAAAACAGAGTTTCCACACTATGTAATCAAAAGAAAGGTTTAACTCTGTGTGATGAATGCTCACATCACAAAGCAGTGTCTCAGAAAGTTTCTTTCTAGTTGTATCTGAAAATATATGTTTTTTCACCATAGGCCAGAGAGCACTCCCAAAGATCTCTTTGCAGATTCTACAAAAATAGTTTTTCTAAACTGATAAAAAAATAGAATGTTTTCACTCTGTGAGATGTAAGCATGCTTCACAAAGCAGTGTCTCAGAAAGCTTCTTTCTAGTTTATATCTGAAGACATTTCCCATTTCACCATTGGCCTCAACATGCTCCCCAATATCCCTTCTCAGTTTCTAAAAAAAGAGTGTTTCTAAACTACTCAATTGTTGTACCTGAGCGAGTTAGAGAAACACCACACTTTGAGATGAATTTAAGAGTCCTTTTTTAGCTGGCACCCGAAAGATGGCTAACACTCAAAATTCTCTCAGCCTTGAGACAGCGGCTTGATTTTCCTTTATACTTTGCTTTAGGAAGGGGAGGATAGCTCAGTTGCAACAATTCTACAGAAGTAAAATCACAGAAAAAAAATTAAAAGACAAATGGTTACAGGGAAACAAACAGTTCCAGGTGCAGGGGCTCTAAATCTATTATTAGATGTTAGGTATGGGGGCTCTGCAGGACACAAACTCACAGCTTTGTGGTGTTATCTCTTGAGTGAAACCCTGGGAACTTCGTACACTGCTTGCTTAAGTACCTTATCAGCTAATTGGACTCTTTGATATGTTGAGAGTCAGCTTACAGAAGTTAACTCCTTGAGGAAGAGGATGGGTAAGGATTCCTTGATGTCTTGTAAATGAAGGAGCAAAATGGAGTTCATCCATGCAGCTTTCTCAGCTAAGGGAGAGTCTATTCCTGTGGAAACAAGGGTAGGTGATTAAGAGAGAAAGGAAGAGTCTAAAAACAAGGTTAGTAAAAACAAAGTTAGGTATTACACAATAAAAAGAACATTTTCATTCTGTGAGATGCAAGCACGCATTACAAAGCAGTGACTCAGAAAGCTTTTTTCTATTTATACCTGAAAACATTTACTTTTTCACAATTGGCCTCCATCTGCTCCTCAATATCCCTTCTCAGATTCTATAAAAGCAGTGTTTCCAAGCTGCACAATCAAAAGAAAGTTTTAACTCTGTGAGATGAAAGCACACATCAAAAATCAGTGTCTCAGAAAACTTCTTTCTAGTTTTTACCTGAAGATATTTCCTTTTTTACCACAGGCCTCAGTGTGCTCCCAAAAATCCTTTGGCAGATTCTACAAAAACAGTGTTTGCAAACTGCTCAATCAAAAGAAAGATTTGTCTGTGAGATAAATGCATGCATCACAAAGCAGTTTCTCAGAAAGCTTCTTTTTAGTTTTTATCTGAAGATGGTTCCATTTTCAACATAGGCCTCAATGGCTCCCAAATATCCCTTGGTAGATTCTACAAAAACAGTGTTTTGAAACTTCTCAATCAAAACAAGGCTTTAACACTGTGAGATAAATGGATACATCACAAACCATTTTCTCAGAAACTTCTTTCTAGTTTTTATCTGAAGGTATTTCCTTTTTCATCACAGGCCTGAATGCGTTCCCAAATATCCCTTTTCAGATTCTACAAAAACAGTGATTCCCAACTGCCCAATCAAAAGAATGGTTTAATTTTTTGAGATGAATGCATACACCACAAAGCAGATTCTCAGAAAGCTTCCTTCTAGTTTTCATCTGAATATATTTCGTTTGTCAACATAGCCCTCAGTATGCTCCCAAATATGCCTTTGCATATTCTATGAAAACTGTATCCAAGCTCCTCAATCAAAAGAAAGGTTTAACTTTGTGAGGTGAATTCACACATCACAAAGTAGTTTCTCAGAAATCTTCTTTCTAGTTTTTATCTGAAGATATTTCCTTTTTCACCATAGGACTTGGTGCATTCCCAAATATCCCTCTGCAGATTCTATAAAAACAGTGTTTCCAAACTGCTCAAACATAAGAAAGCATTAACTCTGTGAGATGAATGCACACATCACAATGAAATTTCTCAGCAACTTTCTTTCTAGTTTACATATGAAGCTTTTTTTTCACCATAGGCCTCAATGTACTCTCAAATAAGCCTTTGCAGATTCTACAAAAACAGTGTTTACAAACTGCTGAATCCAAAGAAAGGTTTAACTCTGTGAAACGAATGCATACATCACAAAGCAGTTTCTCAGAAATCTTCTTTCTTTTTTTTATCTGAAGATGTTTCCTTTTTCAGCATTGGCCTCCATGTGCTCCCAAATATCCTTTTGCAGCTTCTGCAAAACCAGTGTTTCCAAACTGCTGAATAACAAGAAAGGTTTAACTCTGTGATATGAATGCACACATCACAAAGCATTTCCTTAGAAAGATTCTTTCTAGTTTTTATATGATTATGATACCTTTTTCACCAGAGGCCTCAATGCACTCCTAAATATCCCTTCACGGATTTACAGAAACAGAGTTTTCAAACTGCTGAGTGAAAAAAAAAAAAAAAGGTTTAACTCTGAAAGATGAAGGAGCTCATCACAAAGCAGTTTCTCAGCTAGCTTCCTTCTGGTTTTTAACCTGTGATATTGGCTTTTTCACCACTGGCCTCAATGAGTTCCAAATGCCCATTTGTAGAATGGACATAAACAGTGTTTCGAAACTTCTGAATCCAAAGAAATGTTTAAATCTGTGATATGAATGCACACATCACAAAGGAGATTCTCAGAAAGTTTCTTTCTAGTTTGTGTATGAATATATTTCTTTTTCACTGTAGTCCTCAATGTGCTCCTAAAAATCCCTTCATAGATTCTACAAAAACAGTGTTTCCAAACTGCTGATTGAAAAGAAAGGTTTAACGTTGTGGCAAGAATGCAGACATCACAAAACAGTTCCTCAAATAGCTTCCTTCGAGTTTTTATCCTGGGATATTCTCTTTCTAAACATTGGCCTCAATGAGCTCCCAAATGTCCATTCACGGAATGGAAAGAAAATAGTGTTTTCAAACTGCTGAATGAAAACAAACGTTTAACTCTGTGAGGTGAATACACACATCAGAAATAGTTTCTCAGATAGCTTCCATCTAGATTTTATCCTGGGATATTGGCTTTTTTGCCTTTGACATCAATGAGTTCCAAATGTCCGTTTGTAGAATGGACGAAAACGGTGTTTCCAAAATGCTGAATCCAAAGAAATGTTTAACTCTGATATGCATGCACACACTACACAGAAGATTCTCAAAAGGATTCTTTCTAGTTTTTATATGAAGATATTTCTTTTTTGGGAGGGGAGCCAAGAAGGCCGAATAGGAAAAGCTCCGGTCTACAGCTCCCAGTGTGAGTGACACAGAAGATGGGTGATTTCTGCATTTCCATCGGAGGTACCGGGTTCATCTCACTAGGGAGTGCCAGACAGTGGGTGCAGGACAGGGGGTGCAGCACACCGTGCATGAGCCAAAGCAGGGTGAGGCATTGCATCACTCGGGAAGTGCAAGGGATCAGTGAGTTCCGTTTCCTAGTCAAAGAAAGGGGTGACAGATGGCACCTGGAAAATCAGGTCACTCCGACCCTAATACTGTGCTTTTCTGATGGGCGTAAAAAAAGGCACGCCAGGAGATTATATCCCACACATGGCTCAGAGGGTCCTACGCCCACGGAGTCTCACTGATTGCTAGCACAGCCGTCTGAGATCAAACGGCAAGGAGGCAGCGAGGCTGAGGGAGGGAGGCCTGCCATTGCCCAGGCTTGCGTAGTTAAACAAAGCAGCCAAGAAGCTCAAACTGGGTGGAGCCCACCACAGCTCAAGGAGGTTCTGCCTGCCTCTGTAGGGCTCCACCTCTGGGGGCAGGGCACAGAAAAACAAAAAGACAGCAGTAACCTCTGCAGACTTAAATGTCCCTGTCTGACAGCATTGAAGAGAGCAGTGGTTCTCCCAGTATGCAGCTGGAGATCTGTGAATGGGCAGAGTGCCCCCTCAAGTTGGTCCCTGGGCCCTGACCCCAAAGCAGCCTAACTGGGAGGCACACCCAAGTAGGGGCAGACTGACACCACACATGGCCGGGTACTCCTCTGAAACAAAACTTCCAGAGGAACGATCAGACAGCAGCATTCACGGTTCATGAAAATCCTCTCTTCTGCAGCCACTGCTGCGGATATCCAGGCAAACAGGGTCTGGAATGGACCTCTAGCAAACTCCAACAAACCTGCAGCTGAGGGCCCTGTCTGTTAGAAGGAAAACTAACAAACAGAAAGGACATCCACACCAAAAACCCATCTGTACATAACCATCATCAAAGACCAAAAGTAGATAAAACCACAAAGATGGGGAAAAAGCAGAGCAGAAAAATTGGAAACTCTAAAAAGCAGAGCACTTCTCCTCCTCCAAAGGAACGCAGTTGCTCACCAGCAATGGAACAAAGCTGGATGGAGAATCACTTTGACGAGTGGAGAGAAGAAGGCTTCAGATGATCAAACTTCTCTGAGCTACAGGAGGAAATACAAACCAAAGGCAAAGAAGTTGAAAACTTTGAAAAAAATTTAGATGAATGTATAACTAGAATAACCAATACAGAGAAGTGCTTAAAGGAGCTGATGGAGTGGAAAGCCAAGGCTCAAGAACTATGTGAAGAATGCAGAAGACTCAGGAGCCGATGTGATCAACTGGAAGAAAGGGTATCAGTGATGGAAGATGAAATGAATGAAATGAAGTGAGAAGGGAAGTTTAGAGAAAAAAGACTAAAAAGAAAAGAACAAAGTCTCCAAGAAATATGGGACAATGTGAGAAGATCAAATCTACATTTGATTGGTGTACCTGAAAGTGACAGGGAGAATGGAACCAAGTTGGAAAACACTCTGCTGGATATTATCCAGGAGAACTTCCCCAATCTAGCAAGGCAGGCCAACATTCAGATTCAGGAAGTACAGAGAATGCCACAAAGATACTCCTCGAGAAGAGCAACTCCAAGACACACAATTGTCAGATTCACCAAAGTTGAAATGAAGGAAAAAATGTTAAGGGCAGCCAGAGAGAAAGGTCTGGTTACCTACAAAGGGAAGCCCATCAGACTAACAGTGGATCCCTCGGCAGAAACTCTACAAGGCAGAAGAGAGTGGGGGCCAATATTCAACATTCTTAAAGAAAAGAATTTTCAACCCAGAATTTCATATCCAGACAAACTAAGCTTCATAACTGAAGGAGAAATAAAATACTTTACAGACAAGCAAATGCTGAGAGATTTTGTCACCACCAGCCCTGCCCTAAAAGAGCCCCTGAAGGAAGCACTAAACATGGAAAGGAACAACCAGTACCAGCCACTGTAAAATCATGCCAAATTGTAAAGACCATCCAGGCTAGGAAGAAACTGCATCAACTAAAGTGCAAAATAACCAGCTAACATCATAATAACAGGATCAAATTCACACATAACAATATTAACTTTAAATGTGAATGGACTAAATGCTGCAATTAAAAGACATAGACTGGCAAATTGGATAAAGAATCAAGACCCATCAGTGTCCTGTATTCAGGAAACCCATCTCATGTGCAGAGACACACATAGGCTCAAAATAAAAGGATGGAGGAAGATCTACCAAGCAAATGGAAAACAAAAAAAGGCAGGGGTTGCAATCCTAATCTCTGATAAAACAGACTTTAAATGAACAAACATCAAAAGACACAAAGATGGCCATTACATAATGGTAAAGGGATCAATTCAACAAGAGGAGCTAACTATCCTAAATATATATGCACCCAATACAGGAGCACGCAGATTCATAAAGCAAGTCCTGAGTGACCTACAAAGAGACTTAGACTTCCACACATTAATAATGGGAGACTTTAACACCCCACTGTCAACATTAGACAGATTAACGAGACAGAAAGTGAACAAGGATACCCAGGAATTGAACTCAGCTCTGCACCAAGCGGACCTAATAGACATTTACAGAACTCTCCACCACAAATCAACAGAATATACATTTTTTTTTGCACCACAACACACCTATTCCAAAATTGACCACATAGTTGGAAGTAAAGCTCTCCTCAGCAAATATAAAAGATCGGAAATTATAACAAACTGTCTCTCAGACCACAGTGCAATGAGACTAGAACTCAGGATTAAGAAACTCACTCAAAACCGCTCAACTACTTGGAAACTGAACAACCTGCTCCTGAATGACTACTGGGTACATAACGAAATGAAGGCAGAAATAAAGATGTTCTTTGAAACTAATGAGAACAAAGACACAACACACCAGAATCTCTGGGACACATTCAAAGCAGTGTGTAGAGGAAAATTATAGCACTAAATGCACACAAGAGAAAGCCAGAAAGATCCAAAATTGACATCCTAACATCACAATTAAAAGAACTAGAAAAGCAAGAGCAAACACATTCAAAAGCTAGCAGAAGGCAAGAAATAACTAAAATCAGAGCAGAACTGAAGGAAATAGAGACACAAAAAACCCTTCAAAAAATCAATGAATCCAGGAGCTGGTTTTTTTGAAAGGATCAACAAAATTGATAGACCGCTAGCAAGACTAATAAAGAAGAAAAGAGTGAAGAATCAAATAGACGCAATAAAAAATGATAAAGGGGATATCACCACCGATCACACAGAAATACAAACTACCATAAGAGAATACTACAAACACCTCTACACAAATAAACTAGAAAATCTAGAAGAAATGGATACATTCCTGGACACATACACCCCCCCCAAGACTAAACCAGGAAGAAGTTCAATCTCTGAGTAGACCAATAACAGGCTCTGAAATTGTGGCAATAATCAATAGCTTACCAACCAAAAAGAGGCCAAGACCAGATGGATTCACAGCCGAATTCTACCAGAGGTACAAGGAGGAACTGGTACCATTCCTTCGGAAACTGTTCCAATCAATAGAAAAAGAGGGAATCCTGCCTAACTCATTTTATGAGGCCAGCATCATCCTGATACCAAAGCTGGGCAGAGACACAACCAGAAAAGAGAATTTTAGACCAATATCCTTGATGAACATTGATGCAAAAATCCTCAATAAAATACTGGCAAACCAAATGTGGCAGCACATCAAAAAGCTTACCCAGAATGATCAAGTGGGCTTCATCCCTGGGATGGAAGGCTGGTTCGATATACACAAATCAATAAATGTAATCCAGCATAAACAGAACCAAAGACAAAAACCACATGATTATCTCAATAGATGCAGAAAAGGCCTTTGACAAAATTCAACAACACTTCATGCTGAAAACTTTCAATAAATTAGGTATTGATGGGTCGTATCTCAAAATAATAAGAGCTATCTATGACAAACCCACAGCCAATATCATACTGAATGGGCAAAAACTGGAAGCATTCCCTTTGAAAACTGGCAGAAGACAGGGATGCCCTCTCTCACCACTCCTATTCAACATAGTGTTGGACGTTCTGGCCAGGGCAATTAGGCAGGAGAAGGAAATAAAGGGCATTCAATCGGGAAAAGAAGAAGTCAAATTTTCCCTGTTTGAAGATGACAGGATTGTATATCTAGAAAACCCCATTGTCTCAGCCGAAAATCTCCTTAAGCTGATAAGCAACTTCAGCAAAGTCTCAGGTTACAAAATCAATGTGCAAAAATCACAAACATTCTTGTACACCAATAACAGACAAACAGAGAGCCAAATCATGAGTGAACTCCCATTCACAATTGCTTCAAAGAGAATAAAATGCCTCGGAATCCAACTTACAAGTGATGGGAAGGACCTCTTCAAGGAGAACTACAAATCACTGCTCAATGAAATTAAAGAGGATACAAAGAAATGGAAGAACATTCCATGCTCATAGGTAGGAAGAATCAATATAGTGAAAATGGCCATACTGCCCAAGGTAATTTATAGATTCAATTCCATCCCCATCAAGCTACCAATGACTTTCTTCACAGAATTGGAAAAAACTACTTTAAAGTTCATATGGAACCAAAAAAGAGCCTGCATCACCAAGTCATTCCTAAGCCAAAAGAGCAAAGCTGGTGGCATCACGCTACCTAACTTCAAACTATAGTACAAGGCTACAGTATCCAAAACAGCATGGTACCAGTACCAAAACAGAGATATAGATCAATGGAGCAGAACAGAGCCCTCAGAAATAACACTACAAACCTACAACTATCTGATCTTTGACAAACCTGAGAAAACCAAGCAATGGGGAAAGGATTCCCTATTTAATAAATGGTGCTGGGAAAACTGGCTAGCCATATGTAGAAAGCTGAAACTGGATCCCTTCCTTACACCTTATACAAAAATTAATTCACGATGGATTAAAGACTTAAACATTAGACCTAAAACCATAAAAACCCTAGAAGAAAACTTAAGCATTACCATTCAGGACATAGGCATGGGAAAGGACTTCATGTCTAAAACACCAAAAGCAATGGCATCAAAACTAAAATTGACAAATGGGATCTAATTAAACTAAAGAGCTTCTGCACAGCAAAAGAAACTACCATCAGAGTGAACAGGCAACCTACAAAATGGGAGAAAATTTTCACAACATACTCTTCTGACAAAGGGCTAATGTCCAGAATCTACAATGAACTCAAACAAATTTACAAGAAAAAAACAAACAACCCCATCAATAAGTGGGTGAAGGCCATGAACAGACACTTCTCAAAAGAAGACATTTATGCAGTCAAGAGAAATGGTGAATGCAAATATCCCTGGATAAAACCTGGAAGGAAGCCGTCTGAGAAACAGTTTTGTGATGTGTGCATCCACTTCTCAGAGTTATGCAGCTTCTTTCTAGTTTTTATCCTGGGATATTCCCTTTTTCACCATTGGGCTCAATGATCTCCCAAATATAGTCTTGTAGAATGGACAAAAACAGTGTTTCTAACCTGATGAATCCAAAGAAAGACTTAACTCTGTGAGATTAATGCACACATCACAAAGCAGTTTCTCAGAAGTCTCCTTTCTAGTTTTCATCTGAAGATGATTCCTTTTTCACCATAGGCCTCAATGCACTCCAAAATATCCGTTCACAGAGTCTACAAAAACAATATGTCCCAAAGATTTAACTCTGTGAGATAAATGCACCCATTACAAAGTGGTTCCTTAGATAGCTTCCCTCTAGTTTTTATCCTGGAATATTCACTTTTTCACCATTGGCCTCAATGAGATCCCAAATGTCAAGTCACAGAACAGAAAAAACCTTGTTTCCAAACTGCTAAATCCAAAGAAATGTTACACTCTGTGAGATGAATGTCCATACCACTAAGCAGTTTCTCAGAAAGCTTCATTCTACTTTTTATCTGAAGATGTTTCCTTTTACACCGTAGGCCTCAATGTGCTCTGAAATATCCCTTTGCAGATTCTACAAAAACAGTGTTTCCAATCTGCTGAAGGAAAAGAAAGTGTTAACCCTGTGAGATGAACACACACATCACAAAACGGTTTATCAGATAGATTTATTCTAGTTTTTATCCTAGGGCATTTGTTTTTTTGTCCTTGACCTCAATGACCTCCCAAGAGTCCTTTTTCAGAATGAACAAAACTGTGTTTCCAAAATGGTGAACAAAAAGAAAGGCTTAACTCTGATATGAATGCACATATCACAAAGCAGTTTCTCAGAAAGCTTCTTTCTAGTCTGAAGTTGTTTCCTTTTTCACTATAAGCCTCAGTGCACTAACAAATATCCCATTGCAGACTCTACAAAAACAGTGTTTCCAAACTACTGAGTAAAAAGAATTGTTTAACTCTATGAGATGAATGCACATATCACAAAGCGGTTTCTCAGATAGCTTCCTTGTAGTTTTTATTCTGGGATATTCCTTTTTTCGCAATTGGCCTCAATGAGCTCCCAAACACCCATTTGCAGAATGGACAAAAACTGTGTTTCTAAAGTGCTGAATACAGAGGAAGTTTTATCTCTGTGATAAGAGTGCACGCATCACAAAGCAGTTTCTCAGAAAGCTTCTTTCTAGTGTTTCTCTGAAGATGTTTCATTTTTCACCATACGCCTCATTGCGCTCCCAAATATCCCTTTGCAATTCTACAAAAACAGTGTTTCCAAACTGCTAAATGAAAAGAAAGTTTCAACTGTGCCAAGTGAATGCACACATCACAAACCGGTTTCTCAGATACCTTCCTTGTAGTACTTATCTTGGGATATTTGCTTTTTGCCCTTGGCCTCAATGAGTTACCAAATGTCAATTCATGGAATGGACAAAAAAAGTGTTCCCATACTACTGAATCCAAAGAAGGGTTTAACTCTGTGAGATGAAAGCTCACAACATAAAACAGTTTCTTAGAAAGCTTCTTTCTAATTATTATGTGAAGATATTTCCTTTTTCACCACAGGCCTCAAAGTGCTCCCCAATATCCCTTTGCAGGTTCTACATAAACAGTGTTTTCAATCTGCTGAATGACAAGAGTTTTAACTCTGTGAGACAAATGCACACATCACAAAGTGGTTTCTCAGATCACTTCCTTCTAGTTTTTATCCAGCAATATTCACTTTTTCACCATTGGCTTCAATAAGCTCTCAAATGTCCATTCGAAAAATAGACCAAAAAAGTGCTTCCAAACTGCTGAATGAAAAGAAAAGTTTAACTCTGTGACATTAATGCGCACATCACAAAGGGTTTTCTCAGACAGCTTCCATCTAGTTATTATGCTAAGAGACTCATTTCTTCACCATTCATGTCAATGAGCTCCCAAATATCAGTTCACAGAATGTACAAAACCATCTTTACAAACTTCTGAATCAAAGAAATGTTTAACTCTTTTAGATGAATGCAGACATCACAAAGCAGTTTCTCAGAAAGCTTCTTTCTAGCTTTTATCTGAAAACATTTCCTTTTTCACCATAGACCTCAATGCGCTCCCAAATATTTCTTCACAGATTCTTTAAAAACATTTTTTCCAAACTGCTGAGTGAAGAGAACTCTTTAGCTATGTGTGATGAATGCATACATCAAAAATCGGTATCTCAGATAGCCTCCTTCTAGTTTTTCTCATGCAATATTACCTTTATAACTATTGGCCTTGATGACTCTGAAATGTACATTCACATAAGCGAAAAAACAGTGTTTCCAAATTGCAGAATCAAAGGAATGGTTTAAATCTGTTAGATGAATTCACATGTCACAAAGCAGTTTCTCAGAAATCTTCTTTCTTTTTCTTCTCTGAAGTTGTTTCCTTTTTCACCAAAGGCCTCAAAGCACTACCAAAGTTCCCTTTGCAGATTCTACAAAAACAGTGTTTACAAACTGCTGAATTAAAAGAAAAGTTTAACTCTGTGACATGAATGCACACATAACAAAGCGATTTCTCAGATAGCTTCCTTCTAGTTTTTCCTGGGATATTCTCTTTTTTGCCATTGTCCACAAAGAGCTCCAAAATGTCCATTTGCAGAATGGACAAAAACAGTGTTTTCAAACTGCTGAATCCAAAGAAAGTTTTCACTCTGGGACATGAGTGAAACATCACAAAGCACTTTCTCAGAAAGCTTCTTTTTAGTTATTGTCCTGGGATAATTCCTTTTTTGCCATTGGCCTCAATAAGCTCCCAAATGTCCATTCACAGAATGGACAAAAACAGTGTTTCCAAACTTCCAAACCTAAAGAAAGGTTTAACTCTGTGAGATGAATGCACACATCATAAAGCAGTTTCTTTGAAAGCTTCTTTGTAGTTTTTTTCTGAAGATATTTCCTTTTTCACCATAGGACTCAATGCAATCCAAAATATCCCTTTGAAGTTTCTATAAAAACTGTGTATCCAAACTGCTGAATGAAAATGAAGTTTTAACTGTGCGAGATGAACACACATATCAGAAACTGGTTTCTCAGACAGCTTCCTCCTGGTTCCTACCCTGGGATATTCCCTTTTTGCCTTTGGCCTCAATAAGCTCCCAAATGTCCATTCACAGATTGGACAAAAAGAGTTTTTCCAACCTTCTGAATCCTAAGAAAGGTTTAACTCTGTGATATGAATGCACATATCACAAAGCAGTTTATCAGAAAGATTCTTTCTTATTTTTATCTGAAGATGTTTCCTTTTTCACCATAGACCTCAAGGCACTCCCAAATATCCCTTCACAGATTCTACAAAAACAGGGTTTCCAATCTTCTGAATGAAAACAGAAGTTTAACTTTGTGAGATGAATGCACACATCACAAAGTGGTTTCTCAGATTGCTTCCTTCTAGTTTTTACCCTGGGATATTCACTTTTTCACCACTGGCTGCAATGAGCTCCAAAATGTCCATTTGAAGAAGAGACAAAAACAGTGTTTCCAAACTGCTGAATGAAAAGAAAGGTTTGAATTGCTAGTTGAATGCACACATCACAAAGAGCTGTCTCAAGTAGCTTCCTTCTAGTTTTTTTTCCTGGGGTATTCACTTTTTCACCTCTGGCCTCAATGAGCTCCCAAGTGTCCACTCATGGAATGGACAAAAACAGTGTTTCCAATCTGCTGAATCCAAAGAAAGTTTTAACTCTCTATGATGAATGCACACATCACAAAGCAGTTTCTCAGAAAGCTTCTTTCCAGTTTTTATCTGAAGATGCTTCCTTTTCACCATACGTCCCAATGTGCTCACAAATATCCCTTCGCAATTCTACAAAAACAACATTTTCCAACTGCTGAATGAAAAGATTGTTTTAAGTCTGTGAAATGAATATACACATCGCAAACCAGTTTCTCAGATACCTTCCTTCTAGTATTTATCTTGGGATATTCACTTTTTCACCCTTGGCCTCAATGAGCTCCCAAATGTCTGTTCACGGAATGGACATAAACAGTGTTTCCAAACTGCTGAATCCAAAGAAGAGTTTAAGTCTGTGAGAAGAAACCACACATCATAACACAGTTTTTTAGAAAGCTTCTTGCTAGTTTTTATGTGAAGATATTTCCTTTTTCACCATAGGCCTCACAGCACTCCCAAATATCCCATTGCAGTTTATTCAAAAACAGTGTTTGCAATCTGCTGAATGAAAAGAGGTTTAACCCCTTGAGATGAATGCACACATCACAAAGCAGTTTCTCAGATGGTTTCCTTCTAGTTTTTATCCTGGGGTATTCGCTTTTCACCATTGGCCTCAAAGAGTTCTGAAATGTCCATTCACAGAATAGAAGAAAACAGTATTTTAAAACTGCTGAATGAAAAAGAAAGGTTTAACTCTGTGAGATGAAGGCACACATCAAAAAGTGGCTTCTCAGATAGCTTCCATCCAGTTATTACCCTCAGAAATTTGCTTTTTCACCATTGACATCAATGAGATCCTAGATGTCAATACGCAAAATGTATAAAACCGTGTTTCCAAACTGCTGAACCAAAGAAAGGTTTAACTCTCTAAGGTGAATGCACACATCACAAAGCAGTTTCTCAGAAAGCTTCTTTCTGTTGTTTATCTAAAGATGTTTCCTTTTTCACCGTAGGCCTCAATTCACTCCCAAATAGCCCTTCACAGAATTTACAAAAACAGTGTTTCCAATCTGCTGAATGAAAAGAGCAGTTTAACTCTGTGAGATGAATGTGCTTATCACAAAGCAGTTTCTCAGATAGCTTCCTTCTAGTGTTTATCCTCAGATATTTGCTTTTATGTTCTTGACCTCAATGAGCTGCCAAATGTCCTTTCACAGAATGAACAAAAACATTGTTTCCAATTTGTTGAATCCAAAGAAACGTTAAACTCTGGGAGATAAATGCACACCTCCCAAAGCACTTTTTCTGAAAGCTTCTTTCTAGTTTTTATCTGAAGATATTTCCATTTTCAATATAGGCCTCAATGCACTCCCACATATCCCTTTGCAGATTCTACAAAAAGAGTGTATCCAAAGTGCTGCATGAAAAGAAAAGTTTAATTCCCTGAGAAGAATGTGCAAATCACAAAGCAGTTTCTCAGAAAGCTTCTTTCCAGTTTTTCTCTGAGGTTATTTCCTTTTTAACCATAGGCCTCAGTGAGCTCTGAAATATCCCTTCACAGATTCTACAATAACAGTGTTTCCAAACTTCTCTAGCAAAAGAAAGATCAACTCTGTGAGATGAATGAGCACATTGGAAAGCAGTTTATCTGAAAGATTCTTTGTAGTTTTTCTCTGAAGATGTTTCCTTTTTCACCTAAGCCTCAATGAACTCCCAAATATCCCTATGTAGATTCTATGAAAACAGTTTTTCCACACTGCTCAATCAAAAGAAAGTTTTATTTCTGTGAGATAAATGAACACATCACATATCAGTTACTCAGAAAGCTTCTTTCTAGTTTTTTTCTGAAGACATTTCCTTTTCACCATAGGCCTCAGTGTGCTCCTAAATATCCTTTTGCAAATACAACAAAAAGAATGTATCCAAACTACTGCATCAAAAGAAAAGTTTAATTCCCTGAGATGAATGTGCACATCACAAAGCAGTTTGTCAGAAAATTTATTTCTAGCTTTTCTCTGAAGATATTTATTTTTTCACCATAGGCCGCAATGCACTCCTAAATATCCTTTCACAGATTCTAAAAAAACAGTGTTTCCAAACTACTCAGTCAAAATGAAGATATAACTCTATGAGATGAATACACACATCACAAAGTTGTTTCTCAGAATGGTTACTTACAACTTTATCTGAAGATATTTCGTTTTTCATCATAGGCCTCAATACGTTCCCAAATATCCCTTAGCAGATTCTACAAAAACAGTGTTTCCAAACTGCACAATCAAAAGAAAGGCTTAACACTGGGAGGTGAATGCACTCATCACAAAGCAGTTGCTCAGAAAGCTTCTTTCTAGTTTTTATCTGAAGGTATTTCCTTTTTCACCATAGGCCTCAGGGTGCTTCCAAATATCCTTTTGAAGTTTCTACAATAACTGTGTTTCAAGTTGCTCAATCAAAAGACAGCTTAGCTTTGTGAGATGCACACAGCACAAAGCAGTGTCTAAGAAAGACTCTTTATAGTTTTTATCTGAAAATATTTCCTTTTTCACCATAGACCTCAATGTGCTCCCAAATATCCCTTTGCAGATTCTACAAAAACAGTGTTTCCAAACTGCTCAATCGAAATAAAGCTTTAACTTGGTGAGATGAATCCAAACATCACAAAGCAGTTTCTCATAAAGATTCCTTCTAGTTTTGATCTGAAGATATTCCCTTTTTGACCACTGGCCTCAATGCACCTCCCAAATATCCCTTTGCAGATTCAAGGAAAACAGTGCTTCCAAATTGCTCAGTCAAAAGAGTTTTAAATCTGTGAGATAAATGGACACATCATAAAGCAGTGTCTCAGAAACCTTCTTTCTAGCTTTTATCTGAAAATATTTCCATTTCACCATAGGCCTCAATGTGCTCCCAAATATGCCTTTGCAGATTCTACAAAAACAGTCTTTCCAAACTGCACCATCAAAATAAAGGTTTTACTCTCTGAGATGAAGGCACCCGTCCATGAATTCGTTTCTCAGAAAACTTCTTTCAAGTTTTCTCTGAAGATATTTCCTTTTTCACCATAGGCCTCAATGCACTCCAAAAATATCTCTTTGAAGATTCTGCAAAAATAGTTTTTCCCATCTGTTCCATCAAAAGAAAGGTTTAACTCTGTGAGATGAGTGCACACACCACAAAGCAGTTTCTCTGAAAGCTTCTTTCTAGTTTTTCTCTGAGGATATTTCCTTTTTCACCGTAGGTCACAAAGCACTCTCAAATAACCTTTTGTAGAATCACCCAAAACTGTTCCATCAAAAGAAAGGTTTAACTCTGTGAGATGAATGCACCCATTACAAAGCACTTTTTCAGAAAGCTTCTTTCTAGTTTTTATCTGATGATATTTACTTTTTCACCTTGGAGTTCGTTGCACTCCCAAATATCCCTTCACTGATTCCACAGAAACAGTGTTTCCAATCTGCTCAACAAAAGAAATTTTAACTCTGTGAGATCAATGCACCCATCACAAAGCAGTTTCTTGGAAAGTTTCTTTCTGGTTATTCTCTGAAAGTATTTCCTTTTAACCATAGGCATCAATGAGTTCCCAAATATCCCTTCATAGATTCTACAAAAACAGGGTTTCCAAACTCCTCAATGAAAAGAAAGCTTTAACTCTGTGAGATGAATGCACACATCACAAAGCAGTTTCTCAAAAAGATTCTTTCTAGAATTTCTCTGAAGATATTTCACTTTTCATGTAGGCCTGTAGGTGCACCCAAATATCCCTTTGCAGATTCTACAAAAACAGTATTTCCAAACTGCTCCATCAGCAGAAATATTTAACTTTGTGAGATGAATGCACAAATCCACAAAGCTGTTTCTCAGAAATCTTCTTCCTAGTTTTTCTCTGAAGATATTTCCTTTTTCAACATAGGCCTGAGTGTGCTCCCAAATACCCCTTCATGGATTCTACAAAAACAGTGTTCCCAAATTGCACAACCAAAACAAAGGTTTGACTATCTGAGGTGACTGCAAACATCACAAAGCAGTTTTTCAGAATGTTTATTTCTAGTTTTTTTGTGAAGATATTTCCTTTTTCACTGTAGTTCTCAAAGTGCTCCAAAATATGCCTTCGCAGATTCTACAAAAATAGTATTCCCAAACTGCACCATAAAAAGAAAGGTTTATCTCTGTGAGATGAATGCACACACAACAAAGCATTTTCTCAGAAAGCTTCATTCTAGTTTTTCTCTGAAGGTATTTCCTTTTTCACCATAGGCCTCAATGCTCTCCAAAATATCCCTTTTCAGTTTCTACAAAAACATTCTTTCCTAACTGCTCAATCAAAATAAATGTTTAAATCTGTGAAGTGCATGCACAAATCACAAAGCACTTTCTCAGAAATCTTCTTTCTAGTTTTTATCTGACGATATTTACTTTTTCACCATAGGCTTCAATGCACTCCAAAATATCCCTTTGCAGATCCTACAACTACAATATTTTCAAAAAGCTCAATCAATAGAAAGGTTTACCTCTGTGAGGTGAATGGACTCATTGAAAAGAAGTTTCTCAGATAGCTTATTTCTTGTTTTCATCTGAAGATATATCCTTTTTCACCATAGGCTTCATTGTGCTCCAAAATAGCCCTTCGCAGACCCTAAAAAAGCAGTGTTTCCAAACTGCTACATCAAAAGAAATGTTTAACTCTGTGAGGTGAGTGTACCCATCAAAAAGCACTTTCTCAGGAAGCTTCTTTCTAGTACTTATCTGAAGATACTTCCTTTTTGACCATAGGCCTCAATGAGTTCCCAAGTATCCCTTTGCACGTTCTACAAACTGTTTTCTTAAACTGCTGAATCAAAAGCAAGATTTAACTCTGTGAGATGAATTTACACATCACAAAGCAGTTTCTCATAAACTTCTTTCTAGTTTTTCTCTGAAGATATTTCCTTTTTCCCCATAGACCTCAATGTGCAACAAAATGTCCTTTCGTGGATTCTACGCAAAACTGCTCCATTGAAAGAAAGGTTTAGCTATCTGAGATGAATGCACACATCCCAAAACTGTTTCTCACAAAGCTTCATTCTAGTTTTTATCTGAAGATATTTCCTTTCTCACCATAGGATCAATGTGCTCCCAAATATCCCTTCACAGACTCTACAAAAACAGTGTTTGCAAACTACTCCATCAAAAAAGAAGTTTAAGTCTGTGAGATGAATGCACACATCATGAAGCAGTTTCTCAGAAACCTTCTTTCTAGTTTTTATCTGAAGCTATATCCTTTTTCACTGTAGGCCTCAATGCACTCCCAAATATCTCTTTACAGATTCTATAAAACCAATGTTCCCAAACTGCTCAAACAAAAGAAAAATTTATGTAGGTGAGATGAATGCACACATCACAAAGAAGTTTCTCAGAAAGCTCATTTCTAGTTTTTCTCTGAAGATATTTCCTTTTTCACCATAGACCTCAAAGTGCTCCAAATATCCCTTTGCAGATTCTACAAAAACAGTGTTTCCTAACTGCTCAATCAAAAGAAAGCTTTAGCTCTTTGACCTGAAAGCAAACATCACAAAGCAGTTTCTCAGAAAGATTCTTACTAGTTTTTATCTGAAGATATTTCCTTTTTCACCATAGGCCTTAGTGCGCTCCCAAATATCCCTTCACAGATTCCACAAAAACGGTGTTCCCAAACTGCACAACAAAAAGAAAGGTTTGACTATCTGAGATGAATGCAAAAATCACAAAGCAGTTTTTCAGAATGCTTCTTTCTAGTTTCTGTGTGAAGATATTTCCTTTTTCGCTATAGGTCTCAAAGTTCTCCAAAATATGCCTTTGCAGATTCTACAAAAGCAGTGTTCCCTAGCTGCACCATAAATAGAAAGGTTTATTTCTGTGAGACGAATGCACACACAACAAAGCATTTTCTCAGAAAGCTTCATTCTAGTTTTTCTTTTTTTTTTCTTTTTTTTATTATAAGTTTTAGGGTACATGTGCACATTGTGCAGGTTAGTTACATATGTATACATGTGCCATGCTGGTGCACTGCACCCACTAACTCGTCATCTAGCATTAGGTATATCTCCCAATGCTATACCTACCCCCTCCCCCAACCCCACAACAGTCCCCAGAGTGTGATATTCCCCTTCCGGTGTCCATGTGATCTCACTGTTCAATTCCCACCTATGAGTGAGAATATGCACTGTTTGGTTTTTTGTTCTTGCGATAGTTTACTGAGAATGACGTTTTCCAATTTCATCCATGTCCCTATAAAGGACATGAACTCATCATTTTTTATGGCTGTATAGTATTCCATCTGCACAGCAAAAGAAACTACCATCAGAGTGAACAGGCAACCTACAAAATGGGAGAAAATTTTCGCAACCAACTCATCTGACAAAAGGCTAATATCCAGAATCTACAATGAACTCAAACAAATTTACAAGAGAAAAACAAACAACTCCATCAAAAAGTGGGTGAAGGACATGAACAGACACTTCTCAAAAGAAGACATTTATGCAGCCAAAAAACACATGGAAAAATGCTCATCATCACTGGCCATCAGAGAAATGCAAATCAAAACCACAATGAGATACCATCTCACACCAGTTAGAATGGCAATCATTAAAAAGTCAGGAAACAACAGGTGCTGGAGAGGATGTGGAGAAATAGGAATACTTTTACACTGTTGGTGGGACTGTAAACTAGTTCAACCATTGTGGAAGTCAGTGTGGCGATTCCTCAGGGATCTAGAACTGGAAATACCATTTGACCCAGCCATCCCATTGCTGGGTATATACCCAAAGGACTATAAATCATGCTGCTATAAAGACACATGCACACATATGTTTACTGCGGCATTATTCACAATAGCAAAGACTTGGAATCAACCCAAATGTCCAACAATGATAGACTGGATTAAGAAAATGTGGCACATTCTAGTTTTTCTCTGAAGATATTTCCTTTCTCACCATAGGCCTCTATGTGCTCCCAAATAACCCTTCACAGATTCTACAAAAACAGTGTTTCCAAACAGCTCCATCAGAAGAATATTTTAACTATGGGATATGAATGCACACATCACAAATCATTTTCTCAGAAAACTTCTATCTAGTTTTAATCTGAAGATAATTTTTTTCACCATTGGCCTCAATGGGCTCCCAAATACTCCTTCATAGATTATACAAAAATAGTGTTTCCAAATTGCTCAATCAATAGTAAGTTTTGACTCTGTGAAATGAAAGCACACATCACAAAGCATTTTCTCAGCAAGGTTCTTTCTAGTTTTTATCTGAAGATATTTCATTTTTCACCATAAGTTTCTAACATCCTTTCACGGATTCTCCAGAAACAGTGTTTCCAAACTGCTCAATCAAAAGAAAAGTTTAACTCTGTGAGACGAATGTACTCTTCCCAAAGCCGTGTCTCAGAAAGCTTCTTTCTAGTTTTTATCTGAAGATATTTCCTTTTTCACCATAGGCCTCATTGCACTCCCAAATAGACTTTGCAGATTCTACAAAAACAGTGTTTCCAAAGTTCTCAATCAAAAGAAAGTTTTAACTCTGTGAGATAAATGCAAATATTAGAAAGTGGTTTCTGAGAAAGCTCCTTTCTAGTTTTATTTAGTTTTTTCACCATTGGCCTCAATGCACTCCCAAATATCCCTTTGCAGATTCTACAAAAACAGTGTTTCCAAACTACTCAATGAAAAGGAAGGTGTAACTTTGTAAGATGAACGCACACATCACAAAGCAGTGTCTCACACACTTCCTTCTAGTTTTTATCTGAAGACATTTCCTTTTTCACCATAGGCCTCAATGAGCTCTGAAATATCACTTCATAGATCCTACAAAAACAGTGTTTTCAAAACGTTCAATCAATAGAAAGGTTTAACTCTGTGAGATGAATGGACACATCATAAAGCAGTTTCACAGAAAACTGATTTCTTGTTTTTATCTGAAGATATATCCTGCTTCACCATAGGCCTCAGTGTGCTCCAAAATATCCCTTCGCAGTCCCTACAAAAATGGTGTTTCCAAACTGGCCCATTAAAAGAAACGTATAACTCTGTGAGATGAATGTACACATCCCTAATCAGTGTCTCAGAAAGATTGCTTCTAGTTTTTATCTTAAGATGTATTGTTTTTCATCATAGGCGTCAATGCACTCTAAAATATCAATTGCACAAAAACAGTGTTTCCAAACTGCTGATTGAAAAGAAAGTTTTATCTGTGTGAGATGAATGCACACATCACAAGGTGGTTTCTCAGATAGCTTCCTTCTAGTTTTTTATCCTAGGATATTCACTTTTTTTTCATTGGCCTCAATGAGGTCTCAAATGTCCATATGCGGATTGGAAAAATAAAACTGTTTCCAAACTGCTGAAAAATAAGAAAGTTTTAAATCTGTGAGGTAAATGCACACATCACAAAGTAGTTTGTCAGAAAGCTTCTTTCTAGTTTTTGTCTGAGGGTATTTTCATTTTCACCATAGGCCTCAATGTGCTCCCAAATATCCCTTCACACTTTCCACTAAATCAGTGACTCCAAACTGCTGAATCACATCAGAAATTTAACTCTATGAGATGAATGTACACATCACAAAGCAGTTTCTCAGAAAACTTCTTTCTGCTTTTTATCTGAGGATATATTGTTTTTCTTCATGGTTCTCAATCCGCTCCCAAATATCACTTCGCAGATTCTATAAAAACAGTGATTCCAAACTGCTCAATCAAAAAAAAGGTTTAACACTGTGAGATGAGTGCACACATCACAAAGTAGTTTCTCAGAAAGCTTTCTTCTAGTTTTTATCCTTGGATATTCCCTTTTTCACCATTGGCCTAAATGAGCTCCCAAATGTCCAGTGCTTCCAAACTGCTGAATCAAAAGGTATGTTGAACTAGGTGAGTTGAATGCATAAATCTCATAGGAGTTTCTCAGAAAGCTTCTTTCTAGTTTTTGTCTGAAGATATTTTGTTTTTCAACATAGGCCTCAATGTGCTCCCAAATATACCTTCGCAGCTTGTACAAAAACAGTGCTTCAAAACTGTAGAATGAAAAGAAATATTTAACTCTGGGAGAAGAATACAAACTTCTCAAAGTGATTTCTCAGACAGCTTCCTGCTAGTTTTTATCCTGGGATATTCGTTTTTTCACCACTGGCCTCAATGGGGTCCCAAATGTCCATTCACAGAATGGACAAAAACGATGTTTCAAAACTGTTGAATCAAAAGCAAGGTTTAACTGTGTGAGATGAATGAACACATCATGTAGCAGTTTCTCAGAAAGCTTCTGTCCACTTTTTATCTGAAGATATATATTTTTTAACCATTGGGCTAAATGGGCTCCAAAATAACACTTTGCAGATTCTACAAAAACAGTATTCCAAACTGCTGAATGAAAAGAAAGTTTGAACTCTGCGAGATGAATGCAAATATCACAAAGTGGCTTCTCAGATAAATTCCATCTAGTTTTTATCATGGGATATTCTTCTTTTCGCTATTAGCCTCAATGAGTTCTCAAATGTCCATTTGCAGAATGGACAAAAACAGTGTTTCCAAACTGCTGAATCTAAAGAACGGTTGAATTCTGTGAGATGAATTCACACATCACAAAGCAGTTTCTGATATAGCTTCCTTCTAGGTTTTATCCTGGGATATTCCCTTTTTTGCCATTGGAATCAATGAGCTCCCAGATGTCCATTCGCTGAAAGAACAAAAACAGTATTTCCTAACTGCTGAATGAAAAGAACGGTTTAACTCTGTGAGATTAATGCACACATCACAAAGCAGTTTCTCACAAAGCTTCTTTCTAGTTTGTATCGGAAGATTTTTTTTTCCTATAGGCCACAATACTCTCCCAAATATCCCTTTGCAGATTCTACAAAAGCAGTGTTACCAAACTGCTGAATGAAAAGAATGGTTTAACTCTGTGAGATGAATGCACACATCACAAAGCGGTTACCAGATAGCTTCCTTCTTGTTTTTATCCTGGGATATTTGCTTTTTCACCTTTGACCTCAATGAACTCAAAAATGTGCATTCACAGAATGGACAAAAACAATGTTTCCAAACCGTTGAATCAAAAGAACGGTTTCACTCTGTGAGATGAATGCACATATCACAAAAGAGTTTCTCAGAAAGCTTCTTTCAAGTTTTTATCTGAAGGTATTTTCTTTTTCTCCATAGGCCTCAATTTGCTCCCAAATATCCATTCACAGATACTACAAAAACAATGTTTCCAAACTGTTGAAAGAAAAGAAAGTTTTAACTCTGCAAGATGAATGTGCACATGACAAAGTGGTTTCTCAGATAATTTCCTTCTAGTTTTTATCCAGGGATATTTGTTTTTTCGCCACTGGCCTCAATGAGCTCCAAAATGTCCATTTGCAGAAGGGACAAAAACAGCGTTTCCAAACTGCTGAGTCAAAAGAAAGGTTTATCTTTGTGAGATGAATGCACATATCACAAAGTGGTTTCTCAGAAAACTTCCTTATAGTTTTATCTGAAGAGAATTTCTTTTTCACCATAGGCCTAAAAAAGCTCCCAAATATCCCTTCACAGATTCTACTGAATCAGTGTTTCCATAGTGCTGAATAAATAGAAAGTTTTAACTCTGTGAGATGAATGCACACATCACAAAGCAATTTCTCAGAAAGCTTCTTTCTTATTTTTATCTGAAGATACTTAGTTTTTCATCATAGGCCTCAATGCTTTCCAAAATATCCTTTTGGAGATTCTACAAAGACAGTCTTTTCAAACTGCTGAAGGAAAAGAAAATTTAACCTCTGTGAGGTGAATGCAGACATCACAAACTATTTCTCAGATTACTTCCTTCTAGTTTTTTTCCTGGGATATTTGCTTTTTGCCATTGGCCTCAATGATCTCCGAAATGTCCATTTTCAGAATGGACAAAAACACTGTTTCCAAACTGCTGTGACAAAAGAAAGATTGAACTCAGTGAGATGAATGCACACATCACAAAGCACTTTCTCAGAAAGCTTCTTTCTAGTTTTTGTCTGAAGATATTTTGTTTTTCACCATAAGCCTCAATTTGATCCCAAATATCCCTTTCAGATTCTAGAAAAACTGTTTCCAAACTGCTGAATGAAAAGAAATGTTTAACTCTGGGAGATGAATGCACACATCACAAAGCGGTTTCTGATATAGCTTCCTTCTAGTTTTTATCTATACTTTCTTTTTCACCATAGGCCTCAATTTGCTCCCAAATATCCCTTCACAGATTCTATAAAAACTGCGATTCCAAACCACTGAATGAAAAGAAAGATTTACCTCTGTGAGATCAATGCACATATCACAAGGTGGTTTCTCAGATAGCTCTTTAAAAACAGCTGGATGAAAAGAAAGGTTTTACTCTTTGAAATTAATGCACACATCACAAAGTGGTTACTCAGGTAAATTCCTTTAAGTTTTAATCCCAGGATATTGTCTTCTTTGCCATTGCCCTCAATGAGCTCCAAAATATCCATTCACAGAATGGGCAAAAATAGTATTTCCAAACTGCTGAATGAAAAGAAAGTTTCACTCTGTGAAATGAATGCTCACATCACAAAACAGTTTCTCTGATAGCCTTCCTCAACTTTTTATCCCGGGATATTCACTTATTCACCATTGGCCTCAATGAGCACCCAGATGTCCATTTGCTGAATGGACAAAAAGAGTGCCTCCAAACTACTGAATCAAAAGAAAGGATTAACTCTGAGAGGTGAATGCACACACCACAAAGAAGTTTCTCAGAAAGCTTCTTTCTAACTTTTATCTGAAGATATTTTGTTTTTCACCATAGCCCTCAATGGGGACATAAATATCCCTTAGCCACAATTCTACAAAACCAGTGTTTTCAAACTGCTGAATGAAAAGAATGGTTTAACTCTGAGAGATGAATGCACACATTACAAAGCGGTTTCTGATATAGCTTCCTTTCAGTTTTTATCTGTATTTTCCTTTTCACCATAGGCCTCTATTCACTCGCGAATATCCCTTCACAGATTCTACAAAAGTGTGTTTCAAAATTGCTGAATGAAATATCTCTTAGATTCTACAATATAGTTTTTCCAAACTGCTGAATAGAAAGAAAGATTTAAATCTGCTAGATGAATGCACACGTTACAATGTGGTTTCTCAGATAGATACCTTCTAGTTTTTATCCTGGGATATTTTCTTTATCGCCATTGGCCTCAATGATCTCCCCAAAGTCCATTCGCAGAATATACAAAAACAGTGTTAACAAACTGCTGAATCAAAGGAAGTGTTTTACTCTGTGAGATGAATTCTCACATAACAAAGCAGTTTCTCAGAATTCTTCTTCCTAGTTTTTATTTGAAGATATTTTTTCTTCATAGGACCCAATGCATTCCCAAATATCCATTTGAGATACTATAAAGACAGTGATTACAAACTGCTGAATGAAAAGAAATGTTTAACTCTGAGAGATGGATGCACATATCACAAAGTGGTTTCCCAGATAGCTTCCTGCTAGTTTTATCCTGTGATATTCACTTTTTCGCCATTGGCCTCAATGAGCTCCCAAATATTCGCACACAGAATGGAAAAAAACAATGTTTCCAAAGTGCTGAATCAAAGGAAAGTTTTAACTCAGTGAAATGAATGCACACATCACAAAGCAGTATGTCACAAAGCTTCTTTCTAGTTTTTATCTGAAGATATTTTCTATTTCACCATAGGCTTAAATGTGCTCCCAAATATCCCTTCAAAAACAGGGTTTCCAAACTGCTGAATGAAAAGAAAGTTTTAACTCAGTGAGATGAATGCACACATCACAAAGCAGTTTCCCCAGATAGCCTCCTTCTAGTTTTTTTCCTTGGATATTCACTTTTTCAATGTTGGCCTCAATGAGATCCCAAATATCCCTTTGCAGATGCTACAGAAACAGTGTTTCTAAACTGCTGAATGAAATAACTGTTTAACTCTGTGAATTGAATGCACACATCACAAAACGGTATCTCTGATAGCTTCCTTGTAGTTTTTATAGGTAGACATTTTCTATCTCACCATTGGACTCAATGTGCTCCCAAATATCCCTTCTCTGAATCTACAAATATAGTGTTTCCAAACCTCTAAATGAAAGGAAAGTTACAAATCTGCAAAATGAATGCACACATCACAAAACAGTTAATCAGATAGCTTCCTTTTAGATTTAATCTTGGGATACTTGCTTTTTTGCAATTGGTCTCAATGAGATCCCAAATGTCCATTCACAGCACAGATAAAAACAGTGTTTCCAAACTGCTGAAACAAAAGAAAGGTTGAACTCTGTGAGATGTGTTCACACATCACAAAGCATTTTCTCAGAAAGATTCTTTCTAGTTTTTATCTAAAGATGTTTTGTTTTTCACCATAGGCCTCTATGCTGTCCCCAATATCCCTTCACAGATTCTACAAAAACAATTTTACCAAACTCCTGAGTGAAAAGAAAGGTTTAACTCCATGAGCTGAGTGCGCACATCACAAGTAGTTTCTCAGATAGCTTCCTTCTAGATTTTATCCTGGGATAGTCGCTTTTTCACCATTGGCATGAATGAACTCCCAAAAGTCCATTTGCCAATTCTACAAAAAAAGTGTTTTCAAACTGCTGAATGAAAAGAATGGTTTAACTCTGGGAGATGAATGCACACATTACAAAGCGGTTTCTGATATAGCTTCCCTCCAGTATTTATCTGTATTTTCCTTTTCACCATAGGCCTCTATTCACTCCCAAATATCCCTTCACAGATTCTACAAAAGTGTGTTTAAAAATTGCTGAATGAAAGGAAAGGTTTAACTCTGCAAGATCAATGCATATATCACAAAGCAGTTTCTCAGATAGCTGTTTCAAAAGAGCTGGATGAAAAGAAGGAACATCACACACTGGAGACTGCTGTGGGGTTGGGGGAGGGGGGAGGGATAGCATTAGGAGATATACCTAATGTAAATGATGAGTTAATGGGTGCAGCACACCAACATGGCACATGTATACATATGTAACTAACCTGCACGTTGTGCAAATGTACCCTAAAACTTAAAGTATATTAAAAAAAAACAAAAACAAAAACAAAAAAAAAAAGAAAAAAAAAGAAAAGACAGGTTTCACTCTTCGAAACGAATACACACATCACAAAGTGGTTTCTCAGGTAAATTCCTTCAAGTTTTTTTCTTGGGATATTGGCTTTTTTGCCATTGCCCTCAATGAGCTCCAAAATGTCCATTCACAGAATGGACAAAAACAGTTTTTCCCAACTGCTGAATGAAAAGAAAGGTTTCACTCAGCGAAATGAATGCTCACATCACAAAGCAGTTTCTGTGATGGCTTCCTTTTGTCTTTTATTCTGGGGTACTTGCTTACTCACCATTTCCTCAATGAGCTCACAGATGTTCATTCGCAGAGTGGACAAAAAGAGTGCCTCCAAACTAGTGAATCAAAAGAAAGGATTAACTCTGTTAGATGAATGCACACATCACAAAGTACTTTCTCAGAAAGCTTCTTTCTAGTTTTTATCTGAAAATGATTTCTTTTTCACCATAGGTCTGAATGCTTTCCCAAATATCCCTTCGCAGATCCTAAAATAACAGTGTTTCCAAACTGCTGAATGAAGAGAAATGTTTATCTCTGGGAGATAAATGGAAACATCTCAAATCTGTTTCACAGATAGCTTCCTTCTAGTTTTGTCCTGGGATATTAACTTTTTGGACTTTGGCCTCAATGAGCTCACAAATGTCCATTCACAGAATGAACAAAAACAGTGTTTCCAAACTGCTGTATCAAAAGAAAGTTTTAACTCTGTGAGATGAAAGCATACACGACAAACTAGTTTCTCAGAAAGCTTCTTTGTAGTTTTTATCTGGTGATATTTCCTTTTTCAACATGGACCTCAATGTGCTCCCCAATATCCTTTTGAATTATGAAAAAACAATGTTTCCAAACTACTGAATAAAAAGTACAGTTTAACTAGGTAGGATGAACGCATACATCACAAAGCAGTTTTTCAGAAAGCTTTCATCTAGATTGTATCCTGGGATATTCACTTTCTCACCTTTGGGCTCATTGAGCTCCCAAATGTCCATTCACAGAATGAACAAAAACAATGTTTCCACAGAATGGACAAAAACAGTGTTTCCAAACTGCTCAATCAAAACAAAGGTATAAATCCGTGAGATGAATGCACACATCACAAGGCAGTTTCTCAGAAAGCTTCTTAATAGTTTTTATCTGAAGATAATTTCTTTTGCAAAATAGGCCTCAAATCTCTCCCTTCACAGATTCTACAAAAAGAGTGTTTCCAATCTGCTGAATGAAAAGAAACTTTTAATCCTAGGAGATGAATGCACACATCAAAAATCGTTTCCTCAGATTGAATCCTTCTAGTTTTTATCCTGGGATATTCTCGTTTTCATGATTGGCCTCAATGAGATCACAAATGTCCATTTGCACAATGGACAAAAAGAGTGTTTCAAACGGCTGAATGAAAATAAATGTTTAACTCTCTGAGGTGAATGCACACATCACAAAGTAATTTCCCAGAAAGCTTCTTTCAGGTTTTAAACTGAAGATATTTTATTTTTCCCCTTAGGTATCATTGTGCTCTCAAATATCCCTTTGCAGATTTTACAAAAAAAAAGTTTCTAAACTGCTTAATGAATAGAATAGTTTAAGTCTGCAAGATGAACGCACACAACAGATAGCGGTTTCTCAGATAACTTCCTTCTAGTTTTATCCTGGGATATTTGCTTTTTTGACACTGGCCTTAATGAGCTCCCAAACGTCCACTCCAGAATGGACAAAACCAGTGTTTCCAAAATGCTGACTCAAAAGAAAAGTTTAACTACATGAGATGAATGCACACAACACAAAGCAGTTTCTCAGAAAACTTCTTTCTAGTTTTTATCTGAAGATATATTGTTTTTCACCACAGGCCTCAATGCACTCCAAAATATCACTTCACAGATCCTACAAAAACAGTGCTTCCAAACAGCTGAATGAAGAGAAATTTTTAACTCTGTGAGATGAATACACACATCATAAAGTGGTTTCTCAGATAGCTCCCTTTTAGATTTCATCCTGGGATATTCACGTTTTTGCCACTGGCCTCAAAGAGCCCAAAATGTCCATATGCAGAATGGATAAAAACAGGGTTTCCAAATTGCTGAAAAAAAGAAAGTTTTAATGCTTTGACATAAATGCACACATCATAAAGCAGGCTCTCAGAAAGCTTCTTTCTATTTTTTATCTGAAGATATTTTCCTTTTCACCATAGGCCTCAATGCACTCCCAAATATCAATTGGTGGACTTTACAAAATCAGTGTTTCCAAACTGCTGCATCAAATCAAAGTTTAACTCTATGAGACGAATGCACAGATCACAAAGCAGTTTCTCATAAAACTTCTTTGTAGTTTTGATCTGATGATATATTGTTTTTCACCATAGGCCTCAATGAACTCCCAAATATCAATTTGCAGATTCTTCAAAAACAGTGCTTCCAAACTGCTGAATGAAAAGAAAATTTTACTCTTCAAGATGAATGCACACATCACAAAGTGGTTTCTCAGAAGGCTTCCTTCTAGATTTTATCCTGGGATATTCACTTCTTTGCCATTGGCCTCAATGAGCTCCCAAATGTCCATTTGCAGAATGGACAAAAACAGTGTTTCCAATCTGCTGAATCAAAATAAATGTTGAACTCTGTGAGATGAATGCACAAACCTCATAGCAGTTTCTCAGAAAGCTGCTTTCCAGTTTTATCTGAAAATATTTTCTCTTTTACCATGGACCTCAGTGTGCTCTCAAATGTACCTTTGTAGTTTGTACAGAAACAGTGTTTCCAAACTGCTGAATGAAAATAATGTTTTAACCCTATGAGATAAATGTGCACATTGCAATGCAGTTTCTCAGATACCTTCCTTCTAGTTTTTATCCTGGGATATTGCCTTTTTTTTGCCTTGACCTCAATGAGTTCACAAATGTCCATTTGCAGAATGGACAAAAACCATGTTTCCAAACTGCTGAATCAAAAGAAATGTTGAACTCTGTGAGATGAATGCACACATCACAAAACAGTTTCTCAGATAGCTTCTTTCTAGTTTTTATCTGAAGATATTTTCTTTTTCTCCATTGCCCTCAATGTGTTCCCAAATATCTCTTCAAAGATTGTAAAAAAACAGTGTTTCCAAACTGTTGAATGAAAAGAAAGTTTTAACTCCATGAGATGAATGTGCACATGACAAAGTGGTTTCTCAGATAACTTCCTTCTAGTTTTTTATCCTGGGATATTTGCTTTTTCCTCATTGGTCTCAATGAGCTCCAAAATGTTCAATCACAGAATGAAGAAAAACATAATTTCCAAATTGCTGAATCAAAGAAAGTTTTAACTCTGTGAGATGAATGCACACATCACAAAGTAGTTTCTCAGAAGGATTATTTATGGTTTTTATGTGAAGACAATTTCTTTTTCACAGTAGGCCTCAAAGCACTCCCAAATATCCCTTCACAGATTATACAATATCAGTGTTTCCAAACTGCTGAATCAATAGAAAGTTTTACCTCTGTGAGATGAATGCACACACAACAAAGCAATTTCTCAGAAAGCCTCTTTCTTTTTTTATCTCAAGATATTTAGTTTTTCATCATTGGCCTCAATGCACTCAAAAATATGTTTTGCAGATTCTACAAAAACAGTGTTTCCAAACTGCTGAATGAAAAGAAAGTATTGCCTCTTTGAGAGGAATGCACACATCACAGATGGTTTCTTAGATAACTTTCTTCCTATTTTTATCCTGGGATATCCACTTTTTCACCATTGACCTCATTGAGCTACCTTAAGTCCCTTTGCAGAATGGACAAAAAGAATTTTTCCAAATTGCGGAATCAAAAGAAATGTTTAACTCTGTGAGATGAATACACACATCACAAAGTAATTACTCAGACATCTTCTTTCTAGTTTTTATCTTAAGATGTTTCCTTTTTCACCATAGGCCTCATTGTTCTCCAACATATCCCTTCACAGATTCTACAAAAACAGTGTTTCCAAACTGCTGAATGAAAACAAAAGTTGGCATCTGCAGGATGCATGTACACATCCCAAAGCACTTTCTCAAATAGCTTCCTTCTAGTTTTTATGCTGGGATATTTGGTTTTTCACCATTGGCCTCAGTGAACTCCTCTATGTTTATTCACGGAATGGACAAAAACAGTCTTTCCAGACTGCTGAATCCAAAGACCGTTTTAACTCTATGAAATAAATGCATACATGACAAAGCAGTTTCTCAGAAAGCTTCATTCTAGTTTTTATCTGAAGATGTTTTCCTTTTAACCATAGGAATCAAAGCACTCCAAAATATCCTTTCGCAGATTCTACAAAAACAGTTTTTCCAAACTGCTGAATGAAAAGAAAGGTTTAACTCTGCAAGAACAATGCACACATCACAAAGCAGATTCTCAGATAGCTTCCTTCTATTTTTTATCCTGGGATATTTGCTTGTTTGCCTTTGGCCTCAATGAGGTTCCAAATAACCTTTCGCAGATTCTAAAAAAAAAGTTTCCAATCTGCTCAATGAAAAGAGTGGTTTAACTCTGTGAGATAAATGCATGTATCACAAAGCAGTTTCTCAGATAGCTTCCTTCTAGTTTTTATCCAGGGATAATCGCTTTTATGCCATTGGCCTCAATGAGCTCCCAAATGTCCATTTCCAGAATGTACAAAAACAGTGTTTCCAAATTGCTGAATCCAAAGAAAGGTTTAACTTTGTGAGATGAATGTACACATCACAAAGAGGTTTCACTGATGGCTTTCTTCTAGTTTTTATCCTGGGATATTCACTTTCACCGTTGGCCTCAAAGAGGTCCCAAATGTCCTTTCACAGATTCTACAAAAACAATGTTTCCAATCTACAGAATGAAAAGAGAGGTTTAACTCTGAGAGATAAATGCACATATCACAAAGCAGTTTCACCGATAGCTTTCTTCTAGTTTTTTTTTTTCCCTGAGATAACCACTTTTTCACCAATGGCCTCATTGAGGTTCCTAATGTCCCTTGGCATAATGGAGAAAAAGAGTGTTTCCAGTCATTCAAAAGAATGGTTTAACTCTCTGAGATGAATGCACACACCACAAAGAAGTTTCTTTGAAAGCTTCATTATAGTTTTTATCTGAAGATATTTTCTTTTTCAACATAGGCCTCAATGCTCTCCCAAATATCTCTTCACAGATTCTACAAAAACAGTGTTTCCAAACTGTGGAATGAAAGAAAATGTTTAATTCTGTGAGATGAATGCACACATCACAAAGTGGTTTCTCAGATAGTTTCCTTAAAGTTTTATCCTGGGATATTCACCATTGCACCATTAGCCTCAATGAGCTCCAAAATGTCCATTCGCAGAATGTACAAAAACAGTGTTTCCAAATTGTTGAATCCAAAGAAAGGTTTAACTCTGTGAGATGAATGCACACATCACAAAGAGGTTTCACTGATGGATTCCTTCTAGTTTTTATCTGAAAATGTTTCCATTTTCCCAATAGGTCTCGAAGCACTCCAAAATATCCTTTTGTGGATTCTACAAAAACAGTGTTTCCAAACTACTGAATGAAAAGAAAGGTTTACCTTTGCCAGAAGAATGCATACATCTCAAAATGATTTCTCAGGTAGCTTCCTTATAGTTATCCTGGGATATTCGCTTTTTTGCCATTGGCCTCAATGAGCACAAAAATGTCCATTTGCAGAATGGACAATATAGTGTTTCCAAACTGCTGAACCAAAAGAAAGGTTTAATTCTGTGAGATGAATGCACACAACAGAAAAGAGATTCTCAGAGAGCTTCTTTCTAGTTTCTCTCTGAAGGTGTTTCCTTCTTCACCATAGTTCTCAAAGAGCTCCCAAAAGTCCATTCACAGAATGGACAAAAACAGTGTTTCCAAACTGCTGAATGAAAAGAAAGATTTAAGTCTGCAAAATGGATGCATACAGCACAAAGCTGTTTCCCAGATAGCTTCCTTCTACTTTTTATCCTGGGATATTCAATTTTTCATACTTAGCCTCAAGGAGGTCCTAAGTGTCCATTTGCAGAATGGACAAAAACAGTGTTTCCAAACTGCTGAATATAAAGAAAATTTTAACTCCACAAGGTGAATGCACAAATCACAAAGTGGTGTCTCAGAAATCTTCCTTGTAGTTTTAATCCTGGGATACTTGCTTTTTTGCCTTTGGCCTCAAAGGGCTCCCAAATGTCCATTTGCAGAATAAACAAAAATAGTGTTTCCAAACTGCCTAAAAAAAGAAAGGTTTAACTCTTTGCAATGAATGCACACATCACAAAGTAGTTTTCCAGAAAGCTTCTTTCTAGTTTTTATCTGAAGTTGTTTCCTTTTTCACCATAGACCGCAATGAATTACCAAATATCCCTTCACAGATTTTACAAAAGAGTGTTTTCAAACAGTTGAATGAAAAGAAAGGGTTAACTCTACCAGCTGAATGCACACATCACAAAGCAGTTTCTCAGATAGCTTCCTGCTGGTTTTTATTCTGGGATATTTGCTTTTTTGCCATTTTCCTCAAAAAGCTTACAATGTCCCTCAGAGAATGGACAAAAAGAGTGTTTCCAAACTGCTGAATCAAAAGAAATGTTAAAGTCTTTGAGATAAATGAGCACATAACAATCCAGTTTCTCAGAAAGCTTATTTCTAATTTTTACCTAAAGGAGTTTTCTTTTGCACCATAGGCCTCAATGCTCTCCCAAATAAAACTTTGTGGATTCTACAAAAACAGTGTTTCCAAACTGCTGAATGAAGGAAAGGTTTAAGTCTGCCAGATGATTGCAAACATCACAAAGAGGTTTTTCAGATAGCTTCCTTCTAGTTTTTATCCTGGGATATTCGCTTTTTCACCATTGGCCTCAATGAACTCCCAAATATTCCTTCACAGATTCTACAAAAACAGTGTTTCCAAACTGCTGAATGAAAAGAAAAATTTAATTCTGCAAGATGAAAGAACACATCTATTGGGAGAACCTGCCCCTGATAATTCAAGTAGGCTCTTTTCTATTTTCCTTAAGTTTTGGCTGGTCTGAGAAATAAAGGGAAACAGTGCAAAAGAGAGAAATTTTAAAGCTGGGTATCTGGGGAAGATATCACATGTCAGCAGGTTCTGTGATGTCGCTCAAGCCGCAAAACCAGGAAGTATTTATTAATGATTTTCAAAAGGGGAGGGAGTATATGAATATGGTTTGGGTCACAGAGATCACATGTTTCACACTCAAATAAAATATCACAAGGTAAATGGAGACAGGGAAAATGGATCACAGGTCCACAGGACCAGGGCAAAATTAAAATTGCAATGAAGTTTTGGGCATGCATTGTCTTTTATAATGTCTTATCAGGAGACGGAGTTTGAGAGCAGAGAACTGGTCTTACCAAAATTTATTAGGAGGGAATTTCCTCATCCTAATAAGCCTGGGAACCCTACAGGGGTCAGGGCTTATTTCATGCCTTATCAATGGCCGTAAAAGACAGCTGTCCCTAAAGCGGCCATTTTAGAGGCCTCCCCTTAGGGACACATTCTCTTTCTCAGGGATGTTCCTTGCTAAGGAAAAGAATGCAGTGATATTTCTCCTATATGCTTTTGAAAGGAGAGAAATATGGATCTGTTCCACTTGGCCCACAGGCAGCCAGACTTGAAGGTTATCTCCCTTGTTCCCTGAACATTGTTGTTATCCTGTTCTTAAGTTGCCCAGATTTCATACTGTTTAAACAATTTGCGCAGTTAACGAAGTCATCACAGGGTCCTGAGGTGACATTCATCTCCTTCAGCTTATGAAGTTGGCAGGATTTAAAGTAAAGACAGGGATAGGAAATCACAAGGGTATTGATTGGGGAGGTGATAAGTGTCCATGAAATCTTCACAATTTATGTTCAGAGATTGCAGTAAAGACAGGCATAAGAAATTATAAAAGTATTAATTTGGGTAACTAATACATGTCCATGAAATCTTCACAATTTATGTTCTTCTGCCATGGCTTCAGCCAGTCCCTCTGTTCGGGGTCCCTGACTTCCCATAACATCTCTCCCTTTATTTTTATATAAATGTGCCATGGCGATGAAATCTTGTTCATTCCCCGATTTTGATGCAGGATACTTTGACTGGTATGGCACACTAAAAACAAGCCGATTAAACAGAGAAACATGATTCTATAACTTAGTACAGTGGAGCCCCCAATAGACTTAATCCAAGTCGTGGGGTTTAGTCCATAAATATTTTCTGCCACCTGAAGTAATGCCTCAACTCCAGGCACAATGGATAAGAGCTTGAAAGGCTTCAAAAATTTGTTTCTTTAATTTTGTTATGTCCAATGATAAATTATCTTCCCTACCCAGAAGGTGTCCATTAACCATTTCCCATGAATGGTCAGTCTTGTTATAGGAATACGGGGTGATACAGAAATCCAAAGTATTCCAATTGCACTTCATTTGCATGTAATGTTTGAGACTCACTCCCTGATCTCCAAGCCAGTAACAGACTGTCTTAAATCATTAATTAAATTAGCCAATTTTTGATCAATGCCTTGTTGAGAATTCCAAATTTGGGTGGAATTGGCTTGCCAATCATTAACAAAATGAGCCATTTCAATGGATTTGTGTAATGCCATTCTCGCAGTGGCATTACATTCTCCCAATAAGAAACAAAATAAGTAGACTCCAGGCAATCCTTTCCACCAGAGGAGCAATAGTTTTTTACATAACGTTTTGGTGCCCAGTCTATTACTAGACCATATGAGTCATTTTTTAATATTACTGCATGTGAGTTAACACAATCTTCCCAAATTAAAGTTTTACATGGGCCCTCAAAATTTTTAGGGCATGGTTTCCCTGTAGGATTATATTGAAAGTATGTTCTTCTCCCATGGCTTCAGCTGGTCCCTCCATTCAGGGTTCCCTGACTTCCTGAAACACACATCACAAAGCAGTTTCTCAGGTACCTTCCTTCTAGTTTTTATCCTGGGATATTAGTTTTTTTGCCATTGGTCTCAATGAGCTCCAAAATGTCCATTTGCAAAATGGACAAAAACAGTGTTTCCATACTGCTGAATAAAAAGAAAGATTTAACTCTGTGATACGATTGCACACATCACAAAGCAATCTCTCAGAAAGTTTCTTTCTAGTTTTTATCTCAAGATGTTTCCTTCTTCACCTTAGGCCTCAATGCACTCCCAAGAGTCCTTTTGCAGATTACACAAAAACAGTGTTTCCAAACTGCTGAATGAAAAGAAAGGTTTAACTCAGTGAGATGAATGCACACATCACAAAGCATTTTCTCAGAACGCTTCTTTCAACTTTTTATCTGAGGATGTTTCCTTTTTCACCATAGGCCTCAATCTGTTCCCAAACATCGCTTCACAAATTCTAGAAAATAGTGTTTACAAACTGCTGAATGAAAAGAAAGGTTTAACTTTATGAGATAATTGACACATCAAAAAGTGGTTTCTCAGATAGCTTCCTTCTAGTTTTTATCCTGGAATAATCGCTTTTTCTCCATTATGCTCAGTGAGCTCCCAAGGGCTCATTCGCAGAATACACAAATACAGTGTTTTAAACTGCCGTATCCAAAGAAATGTTTAACACTATGAGATGAATGCAGACATCAACAAGCAGTACCTCAGAAAGCTTCTTCCTATTTTTTAACTGAAGGTAGTTCCTTTTCCAGCATTGACTTCAGGATGCTCCCAAGTATCCCTTCACAGATTCTATAAAAACTTTGTTTCCATATTTCTGAAAGAAAAAAAAAGCTTTAACTTTGACAGATCAATGCACATATCAGAAAGTGGTTTCTCAGAAACCTTCCTTCTAGTTTTTATCTGAAGATGTTTTCTTTTTCATCATAGGCCTCAATGTGCTCCCAAGTATCCCTTGGCAGACTCTACAAAAACAGTATTTCCAAACTGCTGAATGAAAAGAAAGTTTTCATTTTATACTATTTTATTATTATTATACTTTAAATTTTAGGGTACATGTGCACAATGTGCAGGATTTTTATGTATGTATACAAGTGCCATGTTGGTGTGCTGCAACCATTAACTTGTCATTTAGCATTAGGTATATCTCCTAATGCTATCCCTCCCCCCTCCCCCCACCCTACAACAGTCCCCAGAGTGTGATATTCCCCTTCCTGTGTCCATGTAACCTCACTGTTCAATTCCCACCTATGAGTGAGAACATGCGGTGTTTGGTTTTTTGTCCTTGCAATAGTTTGCTGAGAATGATGGTTTCCAGCTTCATCCATGTCCCTACAAAGGACATGAACTCATCATTTTCTATGGCTGCATAGTATTCCATGGTGTATATGTGACACATTTTCTTTATCCAGTCTATCATTGTTGGACATTTGGGTTGGTTCCAAGTCTTTGCTATTGTGAATAGTGCCACAATAAACATATGTGTGCATGTATCTTTATAACAGCATGATTTATAATTCTTTGGGTATATACCCGGTGATGGAATGGCCGGGTCAAATGATATTTCTAGTTCTAGATCCCTGAGGAATCGCCACACTGACTTCCACAATGGTTGAACTAGTTTACAGTCCCACCAACAGTGTAAAAGTGTTCCTATTTCTCCATATCCTCTCCAGCACCTGTTGTTTCCTGACTTTTTAATGATTGCCATTCTAACTGGTGTGAGATGGTATCTCATTGTGGTTTTGATTTGCATTTCTCTGATGGCCAGTGATGATGAGCATTTTTTCATGTGTTTTTTGGCTGCATAAATGTCTTCTTTTGAGAAGTGTCTGTTCATGTCCTTCGACGACTTTTTGATGGGGTTGTTTGTTTTTTTCTTGTAAATTTGTTTAAGTTCAATGTAGATTCTGGATATTAGCCCTTTGTCAGAAGAGTAGGTTGTGAAAATTTTCTCCCATTCTGTAGATTGCCTGTTCACTCTGATGGTAGTTTCTTTTGCTGTGCAGAAGCTCTTTAGTTTAATTAGATCCCATTTGTCAATTTTGGCTTTTGTTGCCATTGCTTTTGGTGTTTTAGACATGAAGTCCTTGCCCATGCCTATGTCCTGAATGGTAATGTCTAGGTATTCTTCTAGGGTTTTTATGGTTTTAGGTCTAACGTTTAAGTCTTTAATCCATCTTGAATTGATTTTTGTATAAGGTGTAAGGAAGGGATACAGTTTCAGCTTTCTACATATGGCTAGCCAGTTTTCCCAGCACCATTTATTAAACAGTGAATCCTTTCCCCAGTGCTTGGTTTTGTCAGGTTTGTCAAAGATCAGATAGTTGTAGATATGTGTCATTATTTCTGAGGGCTCTGTTCTGTTCCATTGATCTATATCTCTGTTTTGGTACCAATACCATGCTGTTTTGGTTACTGTAGCCTTGTAGTATAGTTTGAAGTCAGGTAGTGTGATGCCTCCAGCTTTCTTCTTTTGGCTTAGGATTGACTTGGCAATGCAGGCCCTTTTTTGGTTCCATATGAACTTTAAAGTAGTTTTTTCCAATTCTGTGAAGTAAGTCATTGGTAGCTTTACCGGGATGCCATTAAATCTATAAATTGCCTTGGGCAGTATGGCCATTTTCACAATATTGATTCTTCCTACCCATGAGCATGGAATGTTCTTCCATTTGTTTGTATCCTCTTTTATTTCATTGAGCAGTGGCTTGTAGTTCTCCTCGAAGAGGTCCTTCATGTCCCTTGGAAGTTGGATTCCTAGGTATTTTATTCTCTTTGAAACAATTGTGAATGGGAGTTCACTCATGATTTGGCTCTCTGTTTGTCTGTTATTTATGTATAAGAATGCTTGGGATTTTTGCACATTGATTTTGTATCCTGAGACTTTGCTGGATTTGCATATTAGCTTAAGGAAATTTTGGGCTGAGACAATAGGATTTTCTAGATATACAATCCTGTCATCTGCAAACAGGGACAATTTGACTTCCTCTTTTGCTAATTGAATAAACTTTATTTCCTTCTCCTGCCAGATGCACTGGCCAACACTTTCAACACTATGTTGAATAGGAGTGGTGAGAGAGGGCATCCCTGTCTTGTGCCAGTTTTCAAAGGGAATGCTTCCAGTTTTTGCCCATTCAATATGATATTGGCTGTGGGTTTGCCATAGATAGCTCTTATTATTTTGATATACATCCCATCAATACCTAATTTATTGAGAGTTTTTAGCATGAAGGGTTGTTAAAAATTTGTCAAAGGCCGTTTCTGCATCTCTTGAGATACTCATGTGGTTTTTGTCTTTGGTTCTGTTTATGTGTTGGATTACATTTATTGATTTGTGTATGGTGAACCAGCCTTGCATCCCAGGGATGAAGCCCATTTGATCATGGTGGATAAGCTTTTTGATGTGTTGCTGGATTCGTTTTGCCAGTATTTTATCGAGGATTTTTGCATCAATGTTCATCAAGGATATTGGCCTAAAATTCTTTTTTTTTGTTGTGTCTCTGCCCGGCTTTGGTATCAGGATGATGCTGGCCTCAAAAAATGAGTTAGGGAGGATTCACTCTTTTTCTATTGATTGGAATAGTTTCAGAAGGAATGGTACCAGTTCCTCTTTGTACCTCTTGTAGAATTCGGCTGTAAATCCATCTGGTCCTGAGCTTTTTGTGGTTGGTAAGCTACTGATTATTGCCACAATTTCAGAGCCTGTTATTGGTCTATTCAGAGATTCTACTTCTTCCTGGTTTAATCTTGGGAGGATGTATGTGTCGAGGAATTTATCAATTTCTTCTAGATTTTCTAGTTTGTTTGCATAGAGGTGTTTGTAGTATTCTCTTACGGTAGTTGTTTGTATTTCTGTGGGATCAGTTGTGATATCCCCTTTATCATTTTTTATTGCATCTACTTGATTCTTCTCTTTTTTCTTCTTTATTAGTATTGCTAACGGTCTATTAATTTTGTTAATCTTTTCAAAAAGCCAGCTCCTGGATTCATTAATTTTTTGAAGGGTTTCTTGTCTCTCTATTTCCTTCAGTTATGCTCTGATCTTAGTTATTTCTTGCCTTCTGCTAGCTTCTGAATATGTTTGCTCTTGCTTCTGTAGTTCTTTGAATTGTGATGTTAGGGTGTCAATTTTGGATCTTTCCTGCTTTCTCTTTTGGGCATTTAGTGCTATAAATTTCCCTCTACACACTGCTTTGAATGTTTCCCAGAGATTCTGGTTTGTTGTGTCTGTTCTCATTGGTTTCAAAGAACATCTTTATTTCTGCCTTCATTTTGTTATGTACCCAGTAGTGATTCAGGAGCAGGTTGTTCAGTTTCCATGTAGTTGAGCGGTTTTGAGTGAGTTTCTTAATCCTGAGTTCTACTTTGATTGCACTGTGATCTGAGAGACTGTTTGTTTTAATTTCTATTGTTTTCCATTTGCTGAGGGGTGCTTTACTTCCAACTCTGTGGTCAATTTTGGCATAGGTGTGGGGTGATGCTGAAAAAAATGTGTATGCTGTTGATTTGGGGTGGATAATTCTGTAGATGTCTATTAGGTCTGCTTGGTGCAGAGCTGAGTTCAATTGCTGGGTATCGTTGTTGACTTTCTGTCTCGTTGGTCTGTCTAATGTTGACAGTGGGGTGTTAAATTCCCCCATTATTATTGTGTGGGAGTCTAAGTCTCTTTGTTGTTCACTAAGGACTTGCTTTATGAATCTGAGTGCTCCTGTGTTGGGTGCATATATATTTAGGATAGTAAGCTCTTCTTGTTGAATTGATTCCTTTTCCACTATGTAATGGCCTTCTTTGTCTCTTTCCACATTTGTTGGTTTAGAGTCTGTTTTATCCAAGGCTAGGATTGCAACTCCTGCCTTTTTTTGTTTTCCATTTTCTTGGTGGATCTTCTTCCATCCCTTTATTTTGAGTCCATGTGTGTCTCTGCACATGAGATGGGTTTCCTGAATACTGCACACTGATGGGTCTTGACTCTATCCAATTTGCCAGTCTGTGTCTTTTAATTGGATCATTTACCCCATTTACATTTAAAGTTAATATTGTTATGTGTGAATTTGGTCCTGTTATTATGATTTTAGCTGGTTATTTTGCTCATTAGTTGATGCAGTTTATTCCTAGCCTTGATGATCTTTACATTTTGGCATATTTTTGCAGTGGCTGGTACTGGTTGTTCCTTTCCATGTTTAGTGCTTCCTTCAGGAGCTCTTTTAGGGCAGGCCTGGTGGTGACAAAATCTCTCAGCATTTGCTTGTCTGTAAAGTATTTTATTTCTCCTTCACTTATGAAACTTAGTTTGTCTGGATATGAAATTTTGGGTTGAAAATTCTTTTCTTTAAGAATGTTGAATATTGGCCCCCACTCTCTTCTGGTTTGTAGAGTTTCTGCTGAGAGATCCGCTGTTAGTCTGATATGCTTCCCTTTGTGGGTAACCTGACCTTTCTCTCTGGCTGTGCTTAACATTTTTTCTTTCATTTCAACTTTGGTGTTTCTGTCAATTACGTGTCTTGGAGTTGCTCTTCTCGAGGAGAATCTTTGTGGCGTTCTCTGTACTTCCTGAATCTGAATGTTGGCCTGCCTTGCTAGATTGGGGAAGTTCTCCTGGATAATATCTTGCAGAGTGTTTTCCAACTGATTCCATTCTCCCCATCACTTTCATGTACACCAATCAGATGTAGATTTGGTCTTTTCACATAGTCCCCTATTTCTTGGAGGCTTTGTTCGTTTCTTTTTATTCTTTTTTCTCTAAACTTCTCTTCTGGCTTCATTTCATTCATTTCATTGTGCATCACTGATACACTTTCTTCCAGTTGATCACATCAGCTCCTGAGGCTTCTGCATTCTTCACGTGGTTGTCAAGCCTTGGCTTTCAGCTCCATCATCTCCTTTAAGGACTTCTCTCCATTGGTTATTCTAGGTATCCTTTCGTCTAAGTTTTTTCAAAGTTTTTAACTTCTTTGCCATTGGTTTGAATTTCCTCCTGTAGTTCGCAGTAGTTTCATTTTCTGAAGCCTTCTTTCTGAACTCGTCAAAGGCATTTCCCATCCAGGTTTGTTCTGTTGCTGTTGAAGAGCTGCGTTCCTTTGGAGGAGGAGAGGTGCTCTGCTTTTTAGAGTTTCCGGTTTTTCTGCTCTGTTTTTCCCCCATCTTTGTGGTTTTATCTACTTTTGGTCTTTGATGATGGTGACATACAGATGGGTTTTTGAGTGGATGTCCTTTCTGTTTGTTAGTTTTCCTTTTAACAGACAGGACCCTCAGCTGCAGGTGTGTTGGAGTTTGCTAGAGGTCCACTCCAGACCCTGTTTGCCTGGGTATCAACAGCAGTGGCTGTAGAACAGCGGATATTGGTGAACTGCAAATGCTGGTGCCTGATCGTTCCTCTGGAAGTTTTGTCTCAGAGGAGTACCCGGTCGTATGAGGTGTCAGTCTGCCCCTACTGGGTGGTGCCTCTGAGTTAGGCTGCTTGGGGTCAGGGACCCATTTGAGGAGGCTGTCTGCCCTTTCTCAGATGTCCAGCTGCGTGCCTTGAGAACCACTACTCTCTTCAAAGCTGTCAGAGAGGGACATTTAAGTCTGCAGATGTTACTGCTGTCTTTTGTTTGTCTGTGCCCTGCCCCCAGAGGTGGAGCCTACAGAAGCAGGAAGGCCTCCTTGAACTGTGGTGGGCTCCACCCACTTCGAGCTTCCTGGTTGCTTTGGTTACCTAATCAAGCCTGGGCAAGGGCAGGTGCCCCTCCCCCAGCCTCGCTGCCGCCTTGCAGTTTGATCTCAGACTGCTGTGCTAGCAATCAGCAAGACTCTGTGGGCATAGGACCCTCCAAGCCAGGTGTGGGATATAATCTCTTGGTGTGCCATTTGTTAAGCCTGTAGGAAAAGCACAGTATTAGGGTGGGAGTGACCCGATTTTCCAGGTGCTGTCTGTCACCCATTTCATTGACTAGGAAAAGGAATTCCCTGACCCCTTGCATTTCCCAAGTGAAGCAATGTCTCATCCTGCTTCAGCTTGCACGTGGTGTGCTGCACCCACTGTCCTGTACCCACTGTCTGGCAATCCTTAGTGAGATGAACCCAGTACCTCAGATGGAAATGCAGAAATCACCCATCTTCTGCATCAATCACGCTGAGAGCTGTAGACCAGAGCTTTTCCTATGCGGCCATCTTGGCTCCTCCTCCATTTGGTCTTTCATCATTGGCCTCAATGAGCTCCCAAATGTACCTTTGAAGAATGGACAAAAACAGTGTTTCCAAACTGCTGAATCAAAAGAAAGTTTTTACTCTGTGGGATGAATCCACGCATCATGAAGCAGTTTCTGAAAATGCTTTTTTCTAGTTTTTATGTGAAAACTTTTCCTTTTTCACCATAGACTTCCATGCGCTCCCAAATATCCCATTGCAGATTCTTCACAAACATTGTTTTCAAACTGCTGAATGAAAATAAATTTTTAACTCTGTGAGAAGAATGCACACATCACAAAGTGGTTTCTTATATAGCTTCCTTCTACTTTTTATCATGGGATATTTGTTTTTCCACATTTTGCCTTAATGAGCTCCCAAATGACCATTGGCAGAATGGACAAAAACAGGGTTCCCAACCTCTGAATCCAAAGAAGTTTTTAACTCTGTTAGATGAATGCACAATCACAAAGCAGTTTCTCAGAAAGCTTCCTTCACGTTTTTATCTGGAGATGTTTCCTTTTATGCCAAGGGCCTCAATGCGCTCCCAAATATCCCTTCGCAGATTCTACAAAAGCAGTGTTTCCAAACTGCTGAATGAAAAGAAATGTTTAAATCTATGAGATGAATGCACACATCACAAAGCAGTTTGTAATGTAGCTTACTTCTTGTTTATATCCCAGTGTATACCATTTTTCACCTTTGGCCTCAGTGAGCTCCAAAGGGTACTTTCACATAATTGACTAAAACAGTGTTTCTGAACTGCTGAATCAAAAGAAAGGTTTAAAACTGTGAGATGAGTGCACAATTTCAAGGCAATTTCTCTGAAAGCTTCTTTCCAGTTTTTATCTGAAGATATTTCCGTTTTGACCATAGGCATCAATCTTCTCCAAAATGTCCATTCATAGAATAGACAAAACCAGTGTTTCCAAACTGCTGAAACCAAAGAAAGGTTAAACCCTGTGAGATGAAGTCACACATCAGAGAGCAGTTTCTCAGGTAGATTCCTTCTCGTTTTTATCCTGGTGTATTCCATTTTTGACATTGCCCTCAATGAGGCCTCCAATGTCCATTCGTAGAATGCACAAAAACAGGGTTTCCAAACTGCACAATTGAAAGAAATGTTTAACTGTGAGATGTAAGCACACATCACAAAGCAGTTTCTCAGAAAGCTTCTTTCTAGTTTTTATGTGAGGATAATTCTTTTTCACGATAGGCCTCAATGTGCTCCCAAATATCCCTTCTCAGATTCTACAAAAACAGTATTTGCAATCTGTTGAATGAAAAGAAAGGTTTAAATGTGCGAGATGAATGCAGAAATCACTAAGTGGTATCTCAGATAGATTCCTTCTAGTTTTCAACCTGGAATATAAGCTTTTTCACCACTGGCCTCAATGAGCTCCAAAATGTCCATTCACAGAATGGGCAAAAACAATGTTTCCAAACTGTAGAATTCAAAGAAAACTTTAACTGTGAGACAAATGCACACATCACAAAGCAGTTTCTCAGAAAGCTTCTTTCTAGTTTTTATCTGAAAATGTTTCCTTTTTCATAATAGGCCTCAATGCACACCCAAATATACCTTCGCAGATTCTATAAAAACAATATTTCCAAACTGTGGAAAGAAAACAAATGTTTAACTCTGTGAGATGAATGCACACATCACAATGTCGTTTCTCAGATAGCTTTCTTCTAGGTTTTATCCTGGGATATTTGTTTTATTGCCTTTGGCCTCAATGAGCTCTGAAATGTCTATTTGCATCATGCACAAAAGCAGTGTTTCCAAGCTGCTGAATCCAAAGAAAGATTTAACTCTGTGATATGAATGCACACCTCCAAAGCAGTTTCTCAGAAAGCTTCTTTCTTCTTTTTATCTGAAGATATTCCTGTTTCACCATAGGTCTCAATGCGCTCTGAAATATCCCTTCACAGATTCTACAAAAACAGTGTTTCTAAACTGCTGAATGAAAAGACAGATTGAACTCTGAGAGATGAATGCACATATCACAAAGCAGTTTCTCAAATAGGTACCTTCTAGTTTTTATCTTGGGATATTCACTCTTTTGCCATTGGCTTCTGAGCTCCCAAATGTACATTCACACAATGGACAAATCAGTGTTTCCAAACTGTGGTATTGAAAGAAATATTTAACTCTGAGATGAATGCACACAACACAAAGTAGTTTCTCAGAAAGGTTCTTTCTAATTTTTATCTGAAGATGTTTTCTTTTTCACCATAGGCTTCAATGTGCTCCCAAATAATCCTTCACACATTCAACAAAAACAGTGTTTCCAAACTACTGAATGAAAAGAAAGTTTTAATTCTGCAAGATGAATGCACACATCACAAAGCAGTTTCTCAGAATGCTTCCTTCTAGTTTTTATCCTGGAATATTCGCTTTTTCTGTATTGACCTCAGTGAGCTCCAAAATTTCCTTTTGCAGAATGGACAAAAACAGTGTTTTGAAGCTGCAGAATTCAAAGAAAGGTTTAAATGTGAGATGAATGTACACATCACAAAGCAGTTTCTCAGAAAGCTGCTTTCTAGTTTTTATCTGAAAATATTCCTTTTTCGCCATAGGCCTCAATGCGCTCCCAAATATCCCTTCACAGATTCTACAAAAACATTGTTTCCAAACTGCTGAATGGAAAGAGAGTTTTAACTCTGTGAAATGAATGCACATATCACAAAGTGGTTTCTCACATAGGTCCCTTCTAAGTTTTCTCATGTGATATTCCGTTTTTCAGCATTGGCCTCAATGAGATACAAAATGTCCATTCTACGAATGGACAAAAGCAGTGTTTCCAAACGGCTGATTGAAAAGTAATGTTTATCTGTGTGAGATGAATGCGCACATTGCAAAGCCATTTCTCAGATAGCTTCCTTCTAGTTTTTATCCTGGGATACTCGCTTTTTCACCACTGGCTTCAATGAGCTCCCAAATGTCCATTCGCAGAATGGACAAAAATTGTTTCCAAACTGCTGAATCCAAAGAAAGGTTTAATCCTGTCAGATGAATGCACACATAAAAGGAGTTTCTCAGAAAGCCTCTTTCTGGTTTTTGTATGAAGATATTTCCTTTTTCACTATAGGCCTCAATGAGCTAGCAAATATCCCCTCGCAGATTCTACAAAAACAGTGTTTCAAATATTCTGAATGAAAAGAGAGGTTTAACTCTGTGACATGAATGTACACTTCACAAAGCAGTTTCTCAGAGAGCTTCCTTCTAGTTTTCTTCCTGTGATATTCACTTTTTTGCCATTGGCCCAGAGTTCCCACATGTCCATTTGTAGAATGGAAAAAAAGTGTGTTCCAAAACTGCTGAATCCAAGGAAAGTTTTAAATCTGTGAGATGAATGCAAACATCACAAAGCAGTTTCTCAGAAAGCTTCATTCTAGTTTTTGTCCGAAGATGTTTCATTTTTCACCTTAGGACTCAATGTGATTTCAATTATCCCTTGGCAGATTCTACAAAACCTGTGTTTCCAAACTGCTGAATGAAAGGAAAGGATTATCTCTGCGAGATGAATGCACACATCACAAGTCATTTTTTCAGATAGCTTCCTTCTAGTTTTTATGCTGGGATATTCGATTTTTCACCAATAGACTCAATGACCTCCCAAATGTCCATTTGAAACAGTGTTTCCAAAATGCTGAATCAAATGAAACGTTTAACTCTTTGAGATTAATGCACACTTCACAAAGCAGTTTGTCAGAAGTTCTTTGTAGATTTTATCTGAAGATGTTTCCTTTTCCTGCATAGGTCTCAATGCACTCCCAAATATCCCTTTGCAGTTGCTACAGAAACAGTGTTTCCAATCTGCTGAATGAAAAGAAATATTCAATTATGTGAGATGAATGCACACCTCACAAAGCAGTTTTTAAGATAGCTTCCTTCTAGTTTTTATCCTGGGATATTCGCTTTTTTGGCTTTGGCCTCAAAGAGCTCCCAAATGTTCATACCCAGATGGACAAAAATATGTTTACAAACTGCTGAATCCAGAGAAAGTTTTAACTCTGTGAGCTGAACACACATATCATTAAGCAGTTTCCCAGAAAGCTTCTTTCTAATTTTCATCAGAAGATCTTTCCTTTTTCACCATATTTCTCACTGCACACCCAATTATCCCTTCACATATTCTACAAAAACAGAGTTTCCAAACTGCTGTATGAAAAGAAAGGATTACCTCTGCGAGGTGAATGCACACTGACAAAGTGGTTTCTCCAATAGCTTCCTTCTTGTTTTAATCATACGATATTTCCTTATTTGCCATTGGCCTCAGTTAAATCCCAAATGTCTATTCACAGAATGGACAAAGAGACTGTTTCTAAACAGTCTCTTTTAGAGACTGAAATGAAAGAAATGTTTAAATTTGTGAGATGAATGCACACATTCCAAAGCTTCTCAGTTTTTGTCTAAACTTCTCCAAAGTTTCTCAGAAAGCTTCTTTTCAGTTTTTGTCTAAAGAAGTTTCCTTTTTCACCATAGGCCTCAATGCGCTCCCAAGTATCCCTTTGTAGATTCTGCAAAAACAGTTTTAACAAACTGCTGAATGAAAAGAAAGTTTTACCTCTGTGAGTTGAATGCACACATCACAAAGTGGTTTCTCAGATAGCTTCCTTCTGTTTTTTTTTCTGGGACTTATGATTTTTGCCATAAGCCCAAATGATCTCCAAATGTCCACTCACAGAATGGAGCAAAGGGCTGTTTCCAAACCGTTGAATTTGAAGAAAGTTTTAACTCTGTGAGATGAATGCACACATCACAAAGCAGTTTCTCAGAAAGCTTCTTTCTAGTTTTCATCTGAAGGTGTTTCCATTTTCACCAGAGGCCTCAATGCTATCCCAAATATACCTTTGAAGATCCCATAAAAACAGTGTTTCCAATCTGCTTAATGAAAAGAGAAATGTAAACCTGCGAGATGAATGTACACATCACAAAGCGGGTTCTCAGAGAGCTTCCTTCTAGTTTTTATCCTGTGATGTTCACTTTTTCACCATTGGCGTTAATGAGCTCCCAAATGTCCATTCACCGAATGGACAAAAATAGTGTTTCCACACTCCTGAATCCAAAGAAAAGTTTAACTGTGTGACTTGAATGTGCACATCACAAAGTAGTTTCACAGAAAGCTTCTTTTTAGTTTTTATCTGAATATGTTTCCTTTTTCACCACAAGCCTAAATGACCTCCCAAATGTGCCTTCACAGGTTTTACAAAAACAGTGTTTCCAAACTGCTGAATGATAAGAAATGTTTACCTGTGAGATGAATGCACACATTGCAAATCCATTTCCCAGAGAGCTTCATTCTAGTTTTAATCCTGGGATATGCACTTTTTCTCCATTGCCTTCAATGAGCTCCAAAATATCCATTCACAGAATGGACAAAAAGAGTGTTTCCAAACTTCTGAATCCAAATAAATGTTTAACACCATGAGTGGAATGCACACATTACAAAGCAGTTTCCCAGAAAGTGTCTTTCTAGTTTTTATCTGAAGATGTTTCATTTTTGAACATAGGCCTCAATGCACTCCCAAATATCCCTTTGCAGATTCTACAAAACAGTGTTTCCCAACTGCTGAATGAAAAGAAAATTTTAACGCTGTGAGATGAAGACACACTTCACAAAGTTGTTCCTCAGATAGCCTTCCTCTAGTGTTTATCCTGAATTATTCACTTTTTCACCATTTGAATCAAAGAGCTCCCAAAAGTCCATTTGCAGAATGGACAAAAACAGTGTTTCCAAATTGCTGAAAGAGAAGCATATTTTAACTCTGCAAGATGAATGCACATATCACCAAGCATTTAATCAGATAGCTTCGTTTTACTTCTTATCCTGGGATATTTGCTTTTTCACCATTGGCCTCAATGAGCTACAAAATGTCCATTTGCAGAATGGACAAAAACAGGGTTTCCAAACTGCTGAATCCAAAGGAAATTTAAACTCCATGAGATGAATGCACACATCACAAAGCCATTTGTCAGGAGACTCTTTCTAGTTTTTATTGAAATTGTTTCCTTTTTCAACAGAGTCCTCAATGTGCTCCCACCTATCCCTTTGCAGATTCTGTGAAAACAGAGATTCCAAACTGCTGAATGAAAAAAAAATTAGAAGAGGCAGCCAAGATGGCCGAATAGGAACAGCTCTGGTCTACAACTCCCAGTGTGAGCGACACGGAAGATGGGTGATTTTTGCATTTCCATCTGAGGTACCAGGTTCATCTCACTAGGAATTGCCAGACAGGGGGTTCAGGACAGTGGGTGCAGCACACTGTGCATGAGCTGAAGCAGGTTGAGGTATTGCCTCACTCAGGAAGCATGAGGGGTCAGGAAGTTACCTTTCCTAGTCAAAGAAAGGGGTGACAGATGGCACCTGGAAAATCGGGTCACTCCCATCCTAATCCTGTGCTTTTCAAAAAGGCTTAAAAAACGGTGCACCAGGAGATTATATCCTGCACATGGCTTGGAGGGTCCTACGCCCACGGAGTCTCACTGATTGCTAGCACAGCCGTCTGAGCTCAAACTGCAAGGTGGCAGGGAGGCGGGGAGAGGGGAACTTGCAATTGCCCAGGATTGCTTAGGTAAACAAAGCAGCCAGGAAGCTCGAACTGGGTAGAGCACACCACAGTTCAAGGAGGCCTGCCCGCCTCTGTAGGCTCCACCTCTGGGGGTAGGGCACAAAAAAAAGACAGCAGTAACCTCTGCAGACTTAAATGTCCCTGTCTGACAGCTTTGAAGAGAGCAGTGGTTCTCCCAGCATGCAGCTGGAGATCTGAGAATGGGCAGAAAGCCCCTGCAAGTGGGACCTTGACCCCCGACCACAGAGCAGCCTAACTGGGAAGCACCCCCCAGTAGGGGCAGACTGACACCTCACACAGCTGGGTACTCCTCTGAGACAAAACTTCCAGAGGAACGATCAGACAGCAGCATTCAAGGTCCATGAAAATCCACTGTTCTGCAGCCACCGCTTCTAATACCCAGGCAAACAGGGTCTAGAGTGGACCTCTAGCAAACTCCAACAGACCTGCAGCTGAGGGTCCTGTCTGTTAGAAGGAAAACTAACAAACAGAAAGGACATCCACACAAAAACCCATCTGTACATAACCATCATCAAAGACCAAAAATAGATAAAACCACAAAGATGGGGAAAAAACAGAGCAGAAAAACTGGAAACTCTAAAAAGCAGAGCGCCTCTCCTCCTCCAAAAGAACACAGTTCCTCACCAGCAATGCAACAAAGCTGGACAGAAAATGACTTTGACAAGTTGAGAGAAGAAGGCTTCAGATGATCAAACTACCCTGAGCTACAGGAGGAAATTCAAACCAAAGGCAAAGAAGTTAAAAACTTTGAAAAAAATTTAGACGAATGTATAACTAGAATAACCAATACAGAGAAGTGCTTAAAGGAGCTGATGGAGCTGAAAGCCAAGGCTCAAGAACTATGTGAAGAATTCAGAAGCCTCAGGAGCTGATGTGATCAACTGGAAGAAAGGGTATCAGTGATGGAAGATGAAATGAATGAAATGAAATGGGAAGGGATGTTTAGAGAAGAAAGAATAAAAAGAAACAAACAAAGCCTCCAAGAAATAGGGGACTATGTGAAAAGACCAAACCTATGTCTGATTGGTGTACCTGAAAGTGATGCGGAGAATGGAACCAAGTTGGAAAACACTCTGCAGGATATTATCCAGGAGAACTTCTCCAATCTAGCAAGGCAGGCCAACATTCAGATTCAGGAAATACAGAGAACGCCACAAAGATACTTCTCGAGAAGAGCAAGTCAAAGACACATAATTGTCAGATTCACCAAAGTTGAAATGCAGGAAAAAATCTTAAGGGCAGCTAGAGAGAAAGGTCGGGTTACCCACAAAGGGAAGCCCATCAGACTAACAGCGGATCTCTCGGCAGAAACTCTACAAGCCAGAAGAGAGTGGGGGCCAATATTCGACATTCTTAAAGAAAAGAATTTTCAACCCAGAATTTCATATGCAGCCAAACAAAGCTCCATAAGTGAAGGAGAAATAAAATACTTTACAGACAAGTAAATGCTGAGAGATTTTGTCACCAACAGGTCTGCCCTAAAAGAGCTCCTGAAGGAAGCACTAAACATGGAAAGGAACAACCAGTACCAGCCACTGCAAAATCATGCCAAATTGTAAAGACTGTCGAGGCTAGGAAGAAACTGCAACAACTAATGAGCAAAATAGCCAGCTAACATCATAATGACAGGATCAAATTCACACATAACAATATTAACTTTAAATGTAAATGGACTAAATGTTCCAATTAAAAGACACAGACTGGCAAATTGGAGAAAGAGTCAAGATCCATCAGTGTCCTGTATTCAGGAAACCCAACTCACATGCAGAGACACACATAGGCTCAAAATAAAAAGATGCAAGAAGATCTAACAAGCAAATGGAAAACAAAAAAAAGGCCGGTGTTGCAATCCTAGTCTCTGATAAAACAGACTTTAAACCAACAAAGATCAAAAGAGACAAAGAAGGCCATTAGGTAATGGTAAAGGGATCAATTCAACAAAAAGAGCTAAGTATCCTAAATATATATGCATACAATACAGGAGCATGGAGACTCATAAAGCAAGTCCTGAGTGACCTACAAAGAGACTTAGACTCCTACAAAATAATAAAGGGGGACTTTAACACCCCACTGTCTGTCAACATTAGACAGATCAATGAGACAGAAAGTGAACAAGGATACCCAGGAATTGAACTCAGCTCTGCACAAAGCAGACCTAATAGACATCTACAGAACTCTCCACCCCAAATCAACAGAATATACATTTTTTTCAGCACCACACCACACCTATTCCAAAATTGACCACAGAGTTGGAAGTAAAGCCTTCATCAGCAAATGTAAAAGAACAGAAATTATAACAAACAGTCTCTCAGAACACAGTGCAATGAGACTAGAACTCAGGATTAAGAAACTCACTCAAAACAGCTCAACTACTTGGAAACTGAACAACCTGCTCCTGAATCACTACTGGGTACATAAAGAAATGAAGGCAGAAATAAAGATGTTCTTTGAAACCAACGAGAACAAAGACACAACATACCAGAATCTCTGGGACGCATTCAAAGCGGTGTGTAGAGGGAAATATATAGCACTAAATGTCCACAAGAGAAAGCAGGAAAAATCAAAAATTGACACCCTAACATCACAATTAAAGAACTAGAAAAGCAAGAGCAAACACATTCAAAAGCTAGCAGAAGGCAAGAAATAACTAAAATCAGAGCAGAACTGAAGGAAATAGAGACACAAAAAACCCTTCAAAAAATTAATGAATCCAGGAGCTGGTTTTTGAAATGATCAACAAAGTTGATAGACTGCTAGAAAGACTAATAAAGAAGAAAAGAGAGAAGAATCAAATAGACGCAATAAAAAATGATAAAGGGGATATCACCACCGATCCCACAGAAATACAAACTACCATCAGAGTACTACAAACACTTCTACACAAATAAACTAGAAAATCTAGAAGAAATGAATAAATTCCTTGACACATACACCCTCCCAAGACTATACCAGGAAGAAGTCGAATCTCTGAATAGACCAATAACAGGCTCTGAAATTGTGGCAATAATCAATAGCTTACCAAGGAAAAGAGTCCAGGACCAGGTGGATTCATAGCCCAATTCTACCAGAGGTACAAGGAGGAACTGGTACCATTCCTTCTGAAACTATTCCAATCAATAGAAAAAGAGGCAATCCTCCCTAACTCATTTTATGAGGCCAGCATCATCCTGATACCAAAGCTGGGCAGAGACACAACCAAAAAAGAGAATTTTAGACCAATATCCTTGATGACCATTGATGCAAAAATCCTCAATAAAATACTGGCAAATCGAATCCAGCAGCACATCAAAAAGCTTATCCACCATGATCAAGTGGGCTTCATCCCTGCGATGCAAGGCTTGTTCAATATATGCAAATCAATAAATGTAATCCAGCATATAAACAGAACCAAAGACAAAAACCACATGATTATCTCAATAGATGCAGAAAAGGCCTTTGACAAAATTCAACAACTCTTCATGCTAAAAACTCTCAATAAATTATGTATTGATGGGATGTATCTTAAAATAATAGGAGCTATCTATGGCAAACCCACAGCCAATATCATACTGAATGGGCAAAAACTGGAAGCATTCCCTTTGAAAACTGGCACAAGTCAGGGATGCCCTCTCTCACCACTCTTATTCAACATAGTGTTGGAAGTGCTGGCCAGGGCAATTAAGCAGGAGAAGGAAATAAAGGGTACTCAATTAGGAAAAGAGGAAGTCAAATTGTCCCTGTTTGCAGATGACAGGATTGTATATCTAGAAAACCCCATTGTCTCAACCCAAAATCTCCTTAAGCTGATAAGCAACTTCAGCAAAGTCTCAGGATACAAAATCAATGTGCAAAAATCACAAGCATTCTTATACACCAATAACGGACGAACAGAGAGCCAAATCACGAGTGAACTCCCATTCACAATCGCTTCAAAGAGAATAAAATACCTAGGAGTCTAACTTATAAGGGATGTGAAGGAACTCTTCAAGGAGAACTGCAAACCACTGCTCAATGAAACAAAGGAGGATACAAACAAATGAAGAACATTCCATGCTCATGGGTAGGAAGAATCAATATCGTGAAAATGGCCATTCTACCCTAGGTAATTTATAGATTCAATGCCATCTCCATCAAGCTACCAATGACCTTCTCCACAGAATTGGAAAAAACTACTTTAAAGTTCATATGGAACCAAAAAAGAGCCTACATCGCCAAGTCAATCCTAAACCAAAAGAACAAAGCTGGAGGCATCACACTACCTGACTTCAAACTATACTACAAGGCTACAGTAACCAAAACTGCATTGTACTGGTACCTAAACAGAGATATAGATAAATGGAACAGAACAGAGCCCTCAGAAATAATTCTGCATATCTACAACTATCTGATCTTTGACAAACCTGAGAAAACCAAGCAATGGGGAAAGGATTCCCTATTTAATAAATGGTGCTGGGAAAACTGGCTAGCCATATGTAGAAAGCTGAAACTGTATCCCTTCCTTACACCTTATACAAAAATCAATTCAAGATGGATTAAAGACTTAAATGTTAGATGTAAAACCATAAAAACCCTAGAAGAAAATCTAGGCAATACCATTCAGGACATAGGCATGGGCAAGGACTTCATGTCTAAAACACCAAAAGCAATGGCAACAAAAGCAAAAATTGACAAATGGGATCTAATTAAAATAAAGATCTTCTGCACAGCAAAAGAAACTACCATCAGAGTGAACAGGCAATCTACAGAATGGGAGAAAATTTTCACAACCTACTCAGCTGACAAACGGCTAATATCCAGAATCTACAATGAACTCAAACAAATTTACAAGAAAAAAACAAACAACCCCATCAAAAAGTCGTCGAAGGATAAGAACAGACACTTCTCAAAAGAAGACATTTATGCAGCCAAAAAACACTTGAAAAAATGGTCATCATCACTGGCCATCAGAGAAATGCAAATCAAAACCACAACGAGATACAATCTCACATCAGTTAGAATGGCGATCATTAAAAAGTCAGAAAACAACAGCTGCTGGAGAGGATGTGGAGAAATAGGAACACCTTTACACTGTTGGTGGGACTGTAAACTAGTTCAACCATTGTGGAAGTCCGTGTGGCGATTCCTCAGGGATCTAGTACTAGAAATACCATTTGACCCAGCCATCCCATTACTGGGTATATACCCAAAGGACTATAAATCATGCTGCTATAGAGACACATGCATATGTATGTTTATTGCGGCACTATTCACAATAGCAAAGACTTGGAACCAAGCCAAATGTCCAACAATGATAGACTGGATCAAGAAAATGTGTCACATATACACCATGGAATACTATGCAGCCATAAAAAATGATGAGTTCATGTCCTTTGTAGGGACATGGATGAAATTGGAAATCATCATTCTCAGTAAACTATTGCAAGGACAAAAAACCAAACACCGCATGTTCTCACTCATAGGTGGGAATTGAACAATGAGAACACATGGACCCTGGAAGGGACACATCACACTCTGGGGATTGTTGTGGGGTGGGGCGAGGGTGGAGGGATAGCATTAGGAGATATACCTAATGCTAAATGACGAGTTAATGTGTGCAGCACACCAGCATGGCACATGTATACATATGTAACTAATCTGCACATTGTGCACATGTATCCTAAAACTTAAAGTATAATAATAATAAAATAAAATAAAATTAGATCTCCCAGATTAACACACACATCAATGGCAGTTTCTCAAATGGCTTCCTTCTAGTTTTTGTCCTGGGATGTTCTGTTTTTCACCATTGGCCTTAATTTGCTCCCAAATGTCCATTCACACAATGGACAAAAACCGTGTTTCCAAACTTCTGAATTCAGAGAAAAGTTTAACTCTGTGAGATGAATGCACACATCACAAAGCAGTTTCTTAGAAAACGTCTTTCTACTTCTTATCTGAAGATCATTCGTGTTTCACCATAGACCTCAATGCACTCCCAAATATCCCTTTGCAGTTTCTACAAAAACAGTGTCTCCAAACTGATGAATGAAAAGAAAGTTTTAACTCTGTGAGATGAATGCACACATCACAAAGCTGCTTCTCATAGAGGTGCCTTCTTTTTTTTATCCTGGATATTACCTTTTTCACCTTTGGCTTCAATGAGCTCCCAAATGTCCATTTGCAGAATTGATAAAAACAGTGTTTCCAAACAGATGAATGAAAACAAAAGTTTAGATGTGCAAGATGAATGCACACATCAATGGCAGTTTCTCAGATAGCTTCCTTCTGGTTTTTATCCTGGGATTTTTTTTTTTTTTTGCCATTCACCTCAGTGAGTTCCTAAATGTTTATTCATAGAATGTACAAAAACAGTGCTTCCAGACTGCTGAACCCAAAGGGAAGTTTACCTCTGTGAAGTGAATGCATACTTCCCAAAGCAGTTTCACAGAAAGCTTCTTTTTGTTAGTGTCTGAAGATGTTTCCTTTTTCACCATAGGCCTCAGTACACTCCCTAATTTCCCTTTGCAGATTATACAGAAACACTGTTTCCAAACTGCTAAATTAAAATAAGGTTTAACTCTGTGAGGTGAATGCACACACCACAAACAGTATCTCGGATATCTTCCTTCTAGTTTTTATTCTGGGAAGTTCCATTTTTTGACATTGGCCTCAATGAGCTCACAATAGACCATTTGCAAAATGGACAAAAACAGTGTTTCAGAACTGCTGAATCCAAAGACAAGTTTTAGTCTGTGAGACTAATGCACACATCACAAAACAGTTTCTTAGAGAGCTTCTTTCTTTTTTTATCTGAAGATGTTTCCTTTTTCAACAAAGGTCTCAATATGCTCCCAAATATTCCTTCCTAGTTTCTGCAAAACAGTGTTTCCAAACTGCTGATTGAAAAGAAAGGTTTATTTCTTCAAGATGAATGCAGGCATCACAAAGCAGCTTCTCAGAGAGCTTCTTTCTAGTTTTTAACCTGGGATATTTGCTTTTTTTGCATTGGCCTCAATGAGCTCTGAATTGTCCATTTGCAGAATGGACAAAAGCGTGTTTCCAAACTGCTGAATCAAAAGAAATGTTTAACACGGGATGGACAAAAGAGTGTTTCCAAACTGCTGAATACAAAATGTTTAACCCTGTGAGATGAATGGACACATCACAAAGTGGTTTCTCACAAAACTTCCTTTTAGTTTTATGCTTGGGTGATCACTTTTACAGCATGGGCCTCAATGAGCTCCCAAATGTTTATTTGCAGAATATACAAAACAGTGTTCCCAAACTGCTGAATCCAAAGAAAGGTTTGCATCTGTGAGATGAATGCACACATCACAAAGCAGTTTCTCAGAAAGCTTGTTTCTAGAGTTTATCTGAAGATGTTTACTTTTTCACCATAGGCCTCAAGGCACTCTGCAATATCCCTTCACAGTTTCTACAAAGACATTGTTTTGAAATTGCTGAATGAAAAGAAATTTTTACGTCTGTGAGATGAATGCACATATCACAAAGCAATTTCTCAGAAAGCTTCTTTTTGGTTTTTCTCTTAAGATATTTCCTCTTTCACACTAGGCCTCAAGATGCTCCCAATCGTCCCTTCACAGGTTCTACAAAAACCATTTTTCCAAACTGTGGAATGAAATGCAACGTTTCAAACTGAGAGATGAATGCACACATCACAGCACAGTTTCCCAGATAGCTTTCTTCTAGTTTTTATCCTGGGATGTTCACTTTTTCACCTTTGAAATCAATGAGCTCCCAAATGTCCATTCTCAAAATGGACAATAACAGTGTTTTCAAACTGCTGAACCAAAACAAAGGTTTAACTCTGTGAGATGAAAGCACACATCACAAAGCAGTTTCTCAGAAAGTTTCTTTCTAGTTTTTATCTTAAGGTATTTTATTTTTAACTTTAGGCCTCAATGCGATTCCAAATATCCCTTCACAGATTCTACAAAAACAGCGTTTCCAAACTGCTGAATCAAAAGAAAGGTTTAAGTCTGTGAGATGTATGCACACGTCACAAAGCAGTTTCTTAGAAAGATTCTCTCTAGATTTTATCTGAGGATATTTTCTTTTTCACTATCGGAATTCGTGTGCTCACAAATATCCCTTTGCAGATTCTACAAAAAAGTGTTTCCAAACCTCTGAATCAAAGGAGAGGTTTAATTCTGTAAGATTAATTCACACATCAGAAAGCAGTTCCTTAGAAAGCTTCTTTCTAGTTACTATCTGAAGATATTTTGTTTTTCACCATTGACATCAATGCATTCCCAAATATCCTTCTGCAGATTCCACAAAAACAGTATTTCAAAAATGCTGAATGCAACGAAATGTTTCACACTGCGAGATGAAGGCACACATCACAAAGCAGTTACTCAGAAAGCTTTTTTCTCACTTTTTTTCCTGAAGATATTGCCTTTTTCAGCATTGACCTCAATGTGCTCCCAAATATCCTTTCACGGATTCTAGAAAAACAGTGTTTACAATCTGCAGAATGAAAACAATGGTTTAACTCTTTGAGATAAATGTACACATTACAAAGCAGTTTCTCAGATAGCTTCCTTTGAGTGTTTATCCTGGGATATCCACTTTTTTGCCATTGGCCTCAATGAGCTCCCAAATGTCCGTTTGCAGATTGGACAAAAACAGTGTTTTCGAACTGCTGAATTAAAAGTAAGTTTTAACAGTGTGAGATGAATGGACACATCATAAAGCCGTTTCTCAGAAAACATCTTTCTGGTTTTTATTTGAAGATATTTTCTTTTTCACCTTAGCCCTCCCTTTGCTCCCAGATATTCCTTCACAGATTCTACAAAAACAATGTTTCCAAACCTCTGAATCAAAAGAAAGGTATAACTCTGTGAAATGAATTCACACATCACAAAGCTGTTTCTCAGAAAGCTTATTTCTAGTTTTTATCTGAAGATTTTCTTTCACCATAGGCCTAAATGCACTCCAAAATATCTCTTTGCAAATTCTACAAAAATCGTGTTTCCAAACTGCTGAATGAAAATAAACTTTTAATTCTGTCAGATACATACACACATCACAGAAAAAATTCTCAGATAGCTTTCTTTTGGTTTTTCTCCTGGGATATTCCCTTTTTTGCAATTGGCCTCAAAGAGCTCCCAAATGTCCATTCACAGAATGGACAAAAACAGTTTTTGCAAACTGCTGAATCATAAGAAAATTTGAACTCTGTGAGATGAATGCACCCATCACAAAGCAGTTTCCCAAAAAGCTTCCTTCTAATTTTTATCTGAAGATATTTTCTTTTGAACATAGGGTTCAATATGCTCCAAAATATCCCTTGGCATATTCTACAAAAACAATGTTTCCAAACTGCTGAATTAAAAGAAATGTTTAACTCTGTGAGATGAATGCGTACATCACAAAGCAGTTTCTCAGAATGATTCTTTCTAGTTTTTATCTGAAGATTTTTTCTTTTTCACCACAGGCCTCAAGGCACTCCTAAATATCCCTTGGCACGTTTTACAAAAACAGTTTTTCCAAACTGCTGAATGAAAAGAAAGTTTTAATTCTGTGAGATGAATACACATAGCATGATGCAGTTTGTCCGATAGTTTCCTTCTAGTTTTTATCTTGGGATATTAACTTTTTGGCCATGTAACCTATATGAGTTCCCAATGGTCCATTCACTGAATGGACAAAAACGAGGTTTCCAAACTGCTGATTCAAAAGAAAGTTTCACCTCTGTGATATGAATGCACACATCATAAAGCAGTTTCTCTGAAAGCTTATTTCCAGGTTTAATCTGAAGATGTTTTCTTATTCACCATTTGCCTCAATGCACTACCAAATATCCAATCACAGTTTATACAAAAATAGTGCTTCCAAACTGCTGAATCAAATGAAATGTTCAACTCTGTCAGATGAATGCACACATCATGAACTGTTTCTCATTAAGCATCTTTCTACTTATTATCTGAAGATATTTTCTTTTTCACCATTGGCCTCTCAATGTGCTCCAAAATATCCCTTCACATATTCTACAAAAACGTTGTTTCCAAACTGCTAAATCAAAGGAAGGTTTAACACTGAGAAATGAATGCACACATCACAAAGCGGTTTCTCAGATTGATTCCTTCTAGTTTTTATCCCAGGATATTCGTTTTTCACCATTGGCCCCAATGACCTCCAAAATGTCCATTCACAGAATGGAGAAAAACAGTGTTTCCAAACTGCTGAATCAAAAGAATTTTATATCTGTGAGATGAATGCACACATCACAAAGCGGTTTCTCAGAAACCTTCCTTCTGGTTTTTATCTGAAGTTATTTTCTACTTCAGCATAGGCCTCAATGTGCCCCCAAATATCCCTTCACAGATTCTACAAAATCAGTGTTTCCAAACCTCTGAATCAAAGGAAAGGTTTACCTCTGTGAGATGGATGTAGACATCACAAAGCAGTTTCCCAGAAAGCTTCTTTCTAGTTTACATCTGAATATATTTTCTTTATCACCATAGGCTTCAAAGCACTACCAGATATGCCTTCACAGATTTGACAAAAACAGTGTTCAAACTACTGAGTGAAAAGCAATGTTTAACTCTGTGAGATGGATGCACACATCACGAAATGGTTTCTGAGATAGCTTCCTTCTAGTTTTTATCTGAGGATATTTTCTATTTCACAATAGGCATCAAGGCACGCCCAATTATCCCTTCATAAATTCTACAAAAACAGTGTTTCTAAACTGCTGAATGAAAAGAAACTTTTAACTCTGTGAGATGAATACACACATCACAAACCAGTTGCTCATATAGCTTCCTTCTGGTTTTTATCCTGGGATATTAGCTTTTCCTCCATTGGCCTCAATGAGTCCCCAAAGTCAATTCACAGTATGGACAAAAACAGTCTTTGCAAACTGCTGAATTGAAAGAAAGGTTTACATCTGTGGGAAAACTGCACACATCACAACGCAGGTTCTCAGAAAGCTTCTTTCTGATTTTTATCTGAAGATACTGACTTTTTCACAATAGGCCTCTATGTTCTCACAAATATCCCTTCATAGATTGTAGAAAAACAGTGTCTCCAAACTGCTGAATCAAAAGAAATGTTTAACGTTGTGAGATGAATGTACACATCACAAAGGAGCTTCTCAGAAAGCTTCTTTCCAGTTTTTATCTGAAGATATTTTCTTTTTCACAATAGGGCTCAATTCAGTCCCAAATACCCCTTCACAGATTTTGAAAAACAGAGCTTTCAAACTCCTTAATGAAAAGAAAAGTTTGACTCTGTGAGATGAATGCACACATCACAAAGTGGTTTCTCACTTAGCTTCCTTCTAGTTTTTATCCTGGTATAATCGTTTTTTCCCCACAGGCCTCAATGAGCCCCAAATGTCCATTCTCAAAATAGACAAAAATAGAGTTTCCAAACAGCTGAATCAAAAGAAAGTTTTCACTATGTGAGATTAAAGAACACAATACAAAGCCATTTCTCAGAAAGCATCTTTCTGCTTTTCATCTGAAGGTATTTCCTTTTTCACCATAGACCCCCATGTGCACCCAAATATCCCTTTCTAGATTCTACAAAAACAGTGTTTCCAAACTACCGAATGAAAGGAAATGTTTAAGTCTGTGTGATGAATGCATACATTACAAAGGGTTTTCTCAGATAGCTTCTTTCCAGTTTTTATCATGGGATATTCGTTTTTTTTACAATTGACATCAATGAGCTCCCAAATGACCACTCGCAGAATGGACAAAAACAGTGTTTCCAAACTGGTGAATCCAAAGAATGGTTTAACTCTGTGAGATGAATGCATACATCACAAAGCAGTTTCTCAGAAAGGTTCCTTCTAGTTATTATCTGAAGGTATTTTCTTTTTCACCATAGACTTCAATGAACTCCCAAATATCCCTTTGCAGATTCTACAAAAAGAGTGTTTCCAAACCTCTGAATAAAAGGAAATGTTTAACTCTGTGAGATGAATGCATACATCACAAAGCAGTTTCCCAGAAAGATTCTTTCTGGTTTTTATCTGAAGATATAGTCTTTTTCACCATAAGCCTGAATGCGCTCCCAAATGTACCTTCACAGACGCAACAAAAACAGTGTTTCCAAACTGATGGATGAAAAGAAACGTTTATCTCTGTGAGATGAATGCACACATCCCAAAGCGGTTTTACAAATAGTTTCCTTCTACTTTTTATCCTGGGATATTCACTTTATCGCCATTGGCCTCAATGAGCTCCAAAATGTCCATTCACAGAATGGACAATAACTGTGTTTCCAAACTGCTGAATGAAAAGAAAGGTTTATATCTCCAAGGTGATTGCACACTTCACAAAGCAGCTTCTCAGAAAGCTTCTTTATAGTTTTTTCCTGAAGATATTTCCTTCTTAACCATATGCCTGAACAGGTTCCCAAATACCACTTTGCAGATTCTACAAAAACTGTTACACACCTACATCAAAAGAAGCGTTTAACTCTGTGAGATGAATGTGCACCACAAAGTAGTTTCTCAGAAAGCTTCTTTCTAGTTTTCTCTGAAGATATTTCTTTTTTCACCACAGGACTCAATGTGCTAATCAATATCCCTTCACAGATTTTACAGAAAAAGTGTTTCCAAACTTCTCAACCAAAAGAAAGATTTGACTCAGTGAGATGATTGCACACATCACAAAGCAGTTTCTCAGAAAGCTTCTTCCCAGTTTTTGTCTGAAGATATTACCTTTTTCACCATAGGCCTCAATGTGCTCCCAAATATCCCTTTGCAGATTCTACAAAAACAGTGTTTCCATACTGCTCAATCAAAAGAAAGGTTTAACTCTGTGAGATGAATGCACACATCACAAAGCAGTTTTTCTGACAGCTTCTTTCTACTTTTTTTCTGAAGATATTTCCGTTTTCATCATAGGCCTCAATGCCCTCCCAAATATCCTTTCACGGATGCTTCAATAACAGTTTTTCCAATCTGCTCAATTAAAAGAAAGGTTTTCTTCACTGAGGTGAATGCACACATCTCAAAGCCGGTTCTCAGAAAGCTTTTTCTGGTCTTTCTCTGTAGATGTTTCCTTTTTCACCACATGCCTCAATCCACTCCCAGTATCCCACTGCAGATTCTACAAAAACAGTGTTTCCCAACTGCTCCATCAAAAGAGAGGTTTAACTCTGTGAGATGAATGCACACATCACAAAGCAGTTTCTCAGAAAGCTTCTTTCCATTGTTTACCTGAAGATATTTTCTTTTTCACCATATGCCTCAATGCGCTCCCAAATATCCCTTCACAGATTCTTCAAAAACAGTTTTGCCAAACTGCTCCATCAAAAGAAGGCTTTAATTCTGTGATGTGAATGCACAGATCACAACGCATTTTGTCAGAAAGCTTCTTTCTGGTTTTTCTGTGATGATATTTTATTTTTCACCATAGGCCACAATGTAAACCCAAATATCCCTCTGCAGATTCTACAAAAACAGTGTTTTGAAACTGCTCCATCAAAAGTAAGTTTTAACTCTGTTAGATGAATGCACACATCTGAAAGTAGTTTCTCAGAAAGCTTCTTTCTACTTTTTATCAGAAGATATTTCCTTTTTCACCAAAGTCCTCAATTCTCTCCCAAATATCCTTTTGCAGATTCTACAAAAACAGTGCTTCCACACTGCTAGACCAAAAGAAAGATTTAACTCTTTGAGATGAATACACACATCCCAAAGAAGTTTCTGTGAAAGATTCTTTCTAGTTTTTCTCTGAGGATATCTTCTGTTTCACCATAGTCCTCAATGCACTCCCAAATATCCCTTCAGAGATTCGACAAAAGCAGTCTTACCAAATTGCTCCATCAAAAGAAAGGTTTCACCCTATGAGATTAATGCAAAAATCAGAAAGGAGTTTCCCAATAAGCTTCTTTCTAGTTTTTCTCTGAAGATAATTCCTTTTTCAGCATAGACCTCAATGTGCTCCCAAATATCCTTTCAAAGATTCTCCAAAAACAGTGTTTCCCAACTGCTCCATCCAGGAAAGGTTTGCCTCTGTGAGATGAATGCACACATCCCAAAGCAATTTCTAGGAAAACTTCTTTCTAATTTTTCTCTGAAGATATTTCCTTTTTCACCATAGGCCTCAATGGGCTCCCAAATATATATTTGCAGATTCTACAAAAATCTGCTCTATCAAAAGAATAGTTTAAATCTGTGAGATGAATGCACACATCACAAACCAGTTTCTCAGGAAGTTTCTTTCTAGTATTTATCTGAAGATTTTTCATTTTACACTATAGATCTCAATGCATTCCAAAATATCCCTTTGCAGATTCTCCAAAAATGGTGTTTCCCAACTGCTCCATCAGGGAAAGGTTTACCTCTGTGAGATGAATGCACACATCACAAAGAAGTTTCTCAGAAAGCTTCTTTCTGTTTTTTCTCTGAAGATATTTCCTTTTTCACCATAGTCCTAAATGCACTCCAAAATATCCCTTCACACATTCGAAAAAAATAGCTTCCAAATTGCTCCATCAAAGAAACGTTTAACCCTGTGAGATGAATACAGACTTCCAAAGCAGTTTCTCAATAAACTTCTTTCTAGTTTTTCTCTAAAGATATTTCCTTTTACAGCGTAGACCTCAATGCACTCCCAAATTTCCCTTTGCAGATTCTATAAAAACAGTGTTTCTTAACTGCTCCATCAAATAAAATTTTACCACTGTGAGATGAATGCACACATCATAAAGCATTTCTACGAAAGCTTCTTTCTAGTTTTTATATGAAGATATTTCCTTTTTCACCATTGGCCTCAATGGGCTCCAAAATATCCCTTCGCAGATTCTACAAAACCAGTGTTTCCAAACTACTCAACCATAAGAAAGATTTGAGTCAGTGAAATGAATGCACACATACCAAAGCAGTTTCTCAGAAAGCTTCTTTGCAGTTTTTCTCTGAAGATATTTCCTTTTTGACCATATGCCACAATGCACTCCCAGATATCCCGTCGCAGTTCCTACAAAAACAGTGTTTCCAAACTGCTCAATCAGAAGAAAAGTTTAACTCTCTGAGATGAATGCACACATCACAAAGCAGTTTCTCAGAATGCTTCTTTCTACTTTTGCTCTGAAGACATTTCCTTTTTCAGCAGAGGTCTGAATTCACTCCCAAATATGCCTGCACAGATTTTCAAAAATAGTGTTCCCAAACCTTACCATAAAAAGAAAGGTTTAAATCTGTGAGATGAATGCATGCACAACAAAGCAGTTTTCAGAAAGAGTCTTTCTAGTTTTTCTCTGAAGATATTTCCTTTTTCACCATATAGGCTTCAATGTGCTCCTAAATATCCCTTTGCAGATTCTACAAAAACAGTGTTTCCTAACTGCTCAATCTAAAGAAACGTTTAAAATTTGAGGTGAATGCACACATCAAGAAACAGTTTCTCAGAAAGCTTCTTTCTAGTTTTTCTTGGAAGATATTTCCTTTTTCAACATAGGCCTGAATGCTCTCCAAAATGTCCCTTCGCACATTCTACAAGAGCAGTGTTTCCAAACTGCATCATCAAAATAATGGTTTGACTCTGTGAGATGAATGCAAACATCACAAAGTAGTTTCTCAGAAAGCTTCCTTCTAGTTTTCATCTGAAGATGTTTCCTTTTTAACCATAGGCCTCAATACACTCCCAAATACCCCTTTGCACATCCTACAAAAACTGTGTTTCCAAACTACTGAATGAAAAGAAAGTTTTAACTCAGTGAAATGAAGGCACACATCACAAAGTTGTTTCTCAGATAGCTTCCTTATAGTTTTTATACTGGGATACTCACTTATTCACCATGGGCCTCAATTACCTCCCAAATGTCCAATTGCAGAATGGACAAAAACAGTGTTTCCAAAGTGCTGAATTGAAAGAAAGATTTAACTGTAAAATGAATGCACACATCACAAAACAGTTTCTGAGAATGATTCTTTCTAGATTTTATCTAAAGTTGTTTACTGTTGCACCATAGGCTTCAATGCACTCCCAAATATCCCTTTGCAGATTCTACAACAAGAGTGTTTCCAAACTGCCGAATGAAAAGAAAAGTTTAACCTTGTGAGATGAATGCACATATCACAAAGCAGCTTCTCTGGTAGTTTCCTTATATTTTTTATCCTGGTGATTCAATTTTTCTTCCTTGGCATCAAAGAGCTCCCAAATATCCCTTTGCAGATTCTACAGAAACATTGTTTCCAAAGTGTGGAATGAAAAGAAATGCTTAACTCTGTGAGATGAATGCACACATCACAAAGCTCTTTATCAGATAGCTTCTTTCTTGTTATCCTGGAATATTCACTTTTTCATAATTGGCCTCAATGAGCTCCAAATTGTCCATTCACAGAATGGACAAAAAGAGTATTTCCAAACTGCTGAATCCAAATAAATGTTTATCTCTGTGAGATGAATGCACAAATCACAAAGTAGTTTCTCAGAAAGCTTCTTTCTATTTTTTCTCTGAAGATGTTTCTTTTTTCACCATAAGCATCAATGCACTCACAAATACCTCCTTGCAGATTCTTCAAAAACAGTGATTCAAAACTGTTCAATGAAAATAAAAGTTTAACTCAGCAAGATGAATGCAAACAACACAAGCAGTTACTCCGATAGCTTCCTTCTAGTTTTTATCCTGTGATATTTCCTTTTTTGACATTGACCTCAATGAGTTCCAAAATGTTGATTTGCAGAATGGACTAATACCGTGTTTCCAAACTGCTGAATCCAAAGGAAGTTTCAACTCTGTGAGATGAATGCACACATCACAAAGCAGTTTCTCAGAAAGCATCTTTCTATGTTTCATCTGAAGATCATTCCTTTTTCACTGTAGGCCTCAAGGTTCTCCAAAATATCCCTTCACAGTTTCTACAAAAATATTTTTTCCAAACTGCTGAAAGGAAAGTAAGGTTTAGTTACTCAAGGTGAATGCAAACATCACAAAGCGGTTTCTCAGATAGCTTCCTTCTACTTTTAATCCGGGGATATTTGCTTTTTTGCCATTGGCCACAAAGACATCACAAATGTCCATTCACAGAATGGACAAAAACAGTGTTTCCGAACTGCTGAATGCAAGGAATATTTTAACTCTGCTAGATGAATGCACACATGACAAAGCATTTTCTCAGGTACCTTCCTTCTTGTTTTTATCCTGGGTTATTCGATTTTTTGCCACTGGCCCAAATGAGTTTCCAAATGTCCATTCGCAGTATGGACAAAAACAGTGTTTCCAAACTGCTGAATCCAAAGAAAGGTTTTATTCTATGAGATGAATGCACTCGTCACAATTTCTCTGAAAGCTTCATTCTAGTTTTTATTTCAAACTGTTTCCTTTTTCATCATTGGCCTCAATGCTCTCCCAAATACATCTTCCAGATTCTACAAAAACATGGTTTCCAAGTGCTGAATGAAAAGAAAAATTTATCTCAGTGAGATGATTGCACACATCACAAAGCTCTTTCTCAGATAGCTTGCTTCAAGTTTTAAACCTGGGATATTTGCTTTTCCACCATTGGTCTCAGTGAGATCCCAAAAGTCCATTCATAAATGGACAAAAACAGTGTTTCTGAATTGCTGATTCAAAGGATGTTTTAACCCTGTGAGATGAATGCAGATATCACAAAGCAGTTCCTCAGAAAACTTCTGTTTTCTTTTCAACTGAATATGTTTCCTTTTTCACCATAGGCCTCAATGAGCTCCCAAATATCTCTTCACAGATTCTGCAAAAACAGTGTTTCCAAACAGTTGAAAGAAAAGCAAGTTGTAATTCCATGAGATGAATGCACACATCACAAACCAGTTTCTCAGATAGCTTCGTTCTAGTTTTTATCCTAGGATATTTTTTTTTTTTTGACATTGGTCTCAATGAGCTCCCAATTGTCCATTCACAGAAAGGAGAAAAATGGTGTTTCCAAACTTCTGAATCCAAGGAAACTTCTAAGTTTGTGAGATGAATGCACACATCACAAAGCTGTTTCTCAGAAATCTTCTTTCTTCTTTTAATCTGAAGATATTTCCTTTTTCACCATAGACCTCAAGGGGCTCCCAAATATTACTTCACAGACTCTACAAAAACAGTGTTTCTGAATTGCTAAAAAAAAAAAAAAGAAAGAATTAAATCTGTGAGATGAATACACAAATCACAAAGTGGTTTTTCAGATGGCTTCTTTGCCATTGGCCTCAATGATCTCCCAAATGTCCTTTTGCATAATGGACAAACACAGTGTGTCCAAAAAGCTGAATCCAATGGAGTTTTAACTCTGTGAGATGAATGCACAGATCGCAAAGCAGTTTCTGAGGAAGTTTCTTTCTAGATTTTATCTGAAGATGTTTCCTTTTTCACTATAGGCCTCAATTTGCTCTGAAATATCCATTCGTTGATTCTACAAAAATAGTGTTTCCAAACTGCTCAATGAAAGAAAGGTTTAACTCTGAGAGATGAATGAACACATCACAAAGCTGTTTCTCAGATAGATTCTTTCTAGTTTTTATCCCGGGATATTCACTTTTTTGAAATCAGCTTCAAAGAGCTCCCAGATGTCCATTCTCAGAAAAAACAAAAACAGTGTTGCCAAACTACTGAACACAAAGAAGGTTTTAATCTATGAGATGAATCACACATCACAAATCAGTTTATCAGAAAACTTCTTCCTAGCTTTTATCTGAAGATATTTCCTTTTTCACTGTAGGCCTCAATGTTCTCCCAAATATCCCTTCCCAGATTCTACCAAAATAGTGTTTCCAAACTGCAAAATGAAAAGAAGGGTGTAACTCTGTGAGATGAATGCAGACATCACGAAGCAGTTTCTCAATAGCATCTTTCTCGTTTTTATCCTAGCATATGTGCTTTTTTGCCATTGGCATCAAGGAGCTGCCAAATGTCAATTATCAGAATGGACAAAAACAGTGTTTCCAAACTGCAGAATCCAAAGAAACTTATAAATGTGAGAGGAATGCACATATCACAAAGCAGTTTCTCGGAAAGCTTCTTTCTAATTTTTATCTGAAGAGGTTTCCTTTTTTCCATAGGCCTCAATGCACTCCCAAATATCCCTTTGCAGATTCCACAAAAACAGTGTTTCCAAGCTGCTGATTGAAAGGAAAGTTTAATTCTGGGAGGTGAATGCACACATCACCAAGCTGTTTCTCAGATAGATTCATTCAACTTTTTATCCTGGGATATTCGCTTTTTCACCATTTACATCAATTAGCTCCCAAATGTCCATTCGCAGAATGGACAAAAAGAGAGTTTGCAAACTGATGAATCAGAAGAAATGTTTAACTCTGTGAGGTGAATGCACACATCACAAATCAGTTTCTCAGAAAGATTATTTTTAGTTTTTATCTGGTGATGTTTCCTTTTAACTGTAGGCCTCAATGCGCTCCCAAGTATCCCTTTGCAGTTTCTACAAAAACAGTGTTCCCAAATGGCAGAATGAAAAGAAAGGTTTAATTCTGTGAGATGAATGCACACATCACAATGAGGTTTCTCAGCTAGCTTCCTTCTACTTTTTATCCAGGGATATTCACGTTTTTGCCATTGGCCACAATGTAATCCCAAAAGTCCATTCACAGAATTCAGAAAAACAGTGTTTCCAAACTGCTAAATACAAGGAATGTTTTAACTCTGTGAGATGAATGCACACATCACAAAGCAGTTTCTCAGAAAGCTTTTTCTTGTTTTCATCTGAAGATGTTTCATTTTTAACCATAGGCCTCAACGCACTCCCAAATACTCCTTTGCAAATTCTACAAAACAGTTTTTCCAAACTGCTGAATGAAAGCAAAGGTTTAGCTCTGTGAGATGAATGCACACATAACAAAGTGGTTTCTCAGATAGCTTCATACTAGTTTGTATCCTGGGATATTTGCTTTTTTGTCAATGGCCTCAATGAACTCCAAATTGTCCATTTGCAGAATGGAAAAAAACATTGTTTCCAAACTTCTGAATCCAAAGAAACGTTTAAATCTGTGAAATGAATGCACACATCACAAAGTAGTTTCTCAGAAACCTTATTTACAGTTTTTATCTGAAGATGTCTCCTTTTTCACCAAAATCCTCAAGGTGCTCCCAAATATCCCTTCACTGATTCTATAAAAACAGTGTTTACAAAACTGATGAATGAAAGAAAGGTTTAACTCTGTGAGATGAATGCACACATCACAAAGCCATTTCTCAGAAAGCTTCTTTCTTGTTTTTATCTGAAGATGTTTCCTTTTTCACCATAAGCCTCAAGGTATTCCCAAAGATCCCTTTGAGATTCTACATAAACAGTTTCAAAGCTGCTCAATGAAAAGAAAGGATCAAATCTCCAAGATGAATTCACACATCACAAAGCCAATTCTCAAACATCTTCCTTCTAGTATTTATCCTGGGATATTCAGTTTTACACCATTGGCCACAATGAGCTCCCAAATGTCCATTTGCAGAATGTACAAAAATAATGCTTCCAAAGATCTGAAATGATTAAAAGTTTAATTCTGTGAAATGAATGCACACATCACAAAGCAGTTTCTAAGAAAGTTTCTTTCTAGATTTCATCTGAAGCTGTTTCCTTTTTCAGCATAGCCTGCAATGAGCTGCCAAATATCCCTTCACAGATTCTACAAAAACAGTGTTTTCACACTGCTGAATGAAAAGAATGTTTTACCTCTGTGAATAGAATGCACTAACCACAAAACAGTTTCCCAGATACATTCCTTCTAGGTTTTCTTCCATGATATTGTCTTTTTTGCCATTGGTCTCAATGAGCTCCGAAATGTCTGTTCGAAGAATGGACAAAAAGACTGTTTCCAAACTGTTGAATCCAAAGGCAAGTTTAGTTCTGTGAGATGAATGCACACATCACAAAGCAGCTTATCAGAAAGCTTCCTTCTAGTTTTTATCTGAATATGTTTCCTTTTTCACCATAGCACTCAATGTGCTCCCAACTATGCATTTGCAGATTCTACAAAAACAGGGCTTCCAAATTACTGAGTGAAAAGAAAGGTTTAACTCTGCAAGGTGAATGCACACATCACAAAGTGGTTTCTCAAGGAGATTCCTTCAACTCTTTATCCTGGGATATTCGCTTTTTTGCCATTGGCCTCAATGAGCTCCCAAATATCCATTCACAGAATGGACAAAAACAGTGTTTCCAAACTGCTGACTAAAAAGAAACATTTATTTCTTCGAGGTGAATTCACACTTCACCAAGCAGTCTCTCAGAATGCTTCTTTCTAGTTTTTATCTGAAGATGTTTCCTTTTTCACTGGAGGCCTCAATGTGCTCCAAATTATCCCTTCGCAGATAACAAAAAACAGTGTTTCCAAAATGTTGAATGCAAAGGAAGGTTTAGTTCTGTGAGATGAATGCACACATGAAAATGCAGTTTCTCAGAGAGCTTCTTTCCAATTTTTATCTGAAGAAGTTTCCTTTTTCACCATAGGCTTCCATGCACTCTGAAATTTCCCATTGCAGATTCCACCAAAAAATTGCCTCCAAACTGCTCTATGAAAAGAAAGGTTTATCTCTGTTAGATGAATGCACTCTTCACAAAGTGGTTTCTCAGATAGTTTACTTCCTTTTTTTATCATGCAATATTCCCTTTTTTGCCATTGGTTTCCATGATCTCCCAAATGTCCTTTCACAGAATGGACAAAAACAGTGTTTCCAAACTGCTAAATGAAAAGAAAGTTTTAACTTTCTGAGGTGAATGCCCACATCACAAAGGGGTTTCTCAGAGAGCTTCCTTCTTGTTTTTATCCTGGAATATTGGTTTTTTTTTTTTGCCATTGGCCTCAATGCACTCCCAAATATCCCTTCACAGATTCTACAAAAACAGTGTTTCAAAGCTACTGAATCCCCAGAAAGGTTTAACACTGTGAGGTGAATTTACACATCACAAATCTGTTTCTCAGAAAGCTTCTTTCTATTTTTTATCTGAAGAAGTTTGCTTTTTTATGACAGGCTTCAAAGAGTTCCCAAATATCCCTTTGCAGATTCTACAAAAACAGTTTTTCTAAACTGTTGAAAGAAAGGAAAGTTTTAACTCCATGAGATGGATGCACACATCACAAAGCAGTTTCTCATTGTAATGCCTCTGGTTTTTATGCTGGGATTTTCACTGTTTAGCCTTTGGCCTCAGTGAGCACACAAATGTCCATTGGCAGAATGAACAAAAACAGTGTTTCCAAACTGCTGAATTAAAAGGAAAGGTTTAACTCTGTGAGATGAATGCACACATCACAAAGCAGTTTTTCAGAAATGTTCTTTCTAGTTTTATCTGAACATGTTTCCTTTTTCTCCATAGACCCCAAAGTGCTCCAAAATATCCTTTTGCAGATTCTACAAAAAGAGTGATTCCAAACTGCTGAATTAAAAGAATGGTTTAACTCTGTGAGATGAATGCACACATCACAAAGCAGTTTCTCAGATAGCTTCCTTCTAGTTTTTATCCTGGGATATTCACTTTCTCCCATTTGGTGAAATGAGCTCCCAAATCTCCATGCGCACAATGGACAAAAAAAGATTTTCCAATCTGCTGAATCCAAAGAAAGGTTTAGCTCTAAAAGTTGAATGCACAGATCACAAAGCAGTTTCTCAGAAAATTTCTTTCTAGTTTTTATCTGAAGGTGTTTCCTTTATTCACCATAGGCCCCAGTGCACTCCCAAATATCCCTTCACAGATTCTACAAAAGCAGTGATTCCAAACTGCTGAATTAAAATAAAGGTTTGACTCTGCAAGATGAATGCACACATCACAAAGCGGATCCTCAGAGAGCTTCCTTCAAGTTTTTATCCTGGGATATTTGCTTTTTTGCCATTGGCCTCAATGAGCTCCCAAATGTCCATTCCCAGAAAGGTCAAAAACAGTTTTTCCAAACTGCTGAATGAAAAGAAAGGTTTATCTCTGTGAGATGAATGCACACATCATGAAGTGGTTTCACAGAGGGCTTCCTTCTATTTTTTATTCTGGGATATTCGATTTTTCACCATTGGCCTCAATGAGCTCACAAATGTCCATTCACCAGATGAACAAAAACTGTTTCCAAACTGCTGAATCCTAAGAACGATTTATTTCTTTGAGATGAATGCACATATGACAAAGCAGGTTCTCAGAAAGCTTCTTTCCAGTTTTTATCTGAGGATGTTGCCTTTTTCACTGTAGGCCACAATACGGTCCCAAATATCCCTTTGCAGACTCTACAAAAGGAGTTTTTCGAAACTGCTGAATCCAAAAATGGTTTAATTTTGAGTGGTGAATGCACATATCACAAAGTGGTTTCTCAGAGAGCTTCCTTCTAGTTTTTATGCTGGGATATTCGCTTTTTCGCCTTTAGCCTCAATGAGCTCCCAAATGTAATTTTCAGAATGGACAAAGATAATGTTTCCAAACTGCTGAAAAAAGAAAGTTTTAGCAATTTGAAATGAATGCACACATCACAAAGCAGTTTCTCAGAAAGCTTCTTTCCAGTTTTCATCAGAAGATGTTTCCTTTTTCACCATAGCCCTCTAAGTGCTCTAAAATTTCCCTTCAGAGATCCTACAAAAACAGTGTTTCCAAACTGCTGAATGAAATGAAAGACTTAATTCTGAGAGATGAGTGCACACATCACAGAGCAGTTTGTCAGACAGCTTCCTTGTATTTTTTCTCTTGGGATATTCCCATTTTTGCCTTTGGCATCAATGAGCTCCAAAATGTCTATTCACAGAATGGACAAAAACAGTGTTTCCAAACTGCTGAATCCAAAGAAAGTTTTAACTCTGTGAGATGAGTGCACATATCACATAGCCATTTCTCAGAAAGGTTCCTTCTAGTTTTTATCTGAAGATATTTCCTTTTTCACCATAGACCTCAATGCGCTCCAAAATACCCTGCACAGACTGTACAAAAAGAGTGTTTCCAAACTGCTGAATGAAAAGAAAGGTTTAAATCTGCGAGATAAATGTACACATCCCAAAGCATTTTCTCAGAGAGCTTCTTTCTAGTTTTTATCTGAAGATGTTTCCTATGTCAGCATGAGCCTCAATGCGTTCCCAAATACCCCTTCACAAATTCTACAAAAACATTTTTTCCAAACTGCTGAGTGAAAAGAAAGGTATAACTCTGTGAGATGACTGCACACATCACAAGGCAGTTTCTCAGATTGCTTTCTCCTAGTTTTTATCCTGGGATATTCACTTTTCCCAATTGGCTTCAATGAGCTCCCAAATGTCCATGTGCAGAATGGACAAAAAGAGATTGTCCAATCTGCTGAATCGAAAGAAAATTTAGTTCTGAGAGATGAATGCACACATCACAAAGCAGTTTCCCAGGAAGCTTCTTTCTAGTTTTTTATCTGAAGGTGTTTCCTTTTTAACCATAGGCCCCAATGTGCTCCCAAATATACCTTCACAGATTCTACAAAAGCAGCAAATCCAAACTGCTGAATTAAAATAAATGTTTATCTCTGCACGATGAATGCACACATCACAAAGCAGTTCCTCAGAGAGCTTTCTTCTATTTTCATCCTGTGATATTTGCTTTTTTGCCGTTTTTCTCAATGAGCTCCCAAATGTCCATTCACAGAATGCACAAAAAGAGAGATTCCAAACTGCTGAATCCAAAGAAATGTTTAACTCTGTGAGATGAATGCACACAACACAAAGTAGTTTCTGAGAAAGCTTCTTTCAAATTTTTATATGAAGATATTCTTTTTACATCATAGGCCGCCTTGTGCTCCCAAACATTCATTCGCAGATTCTAAAAAAACAGGGTTTCCAAACTGTTAAATGAAAAGAAAGTTTTAACTCTGCATGATGAATGCCCACATCAAAAAGCAGTTTTTCAGTGACTCCTTCCAGTTTTTATCTGGGATATTCATCTTTTCACCTTTGGCTTCAATGAGCTCACAAATATCCATTTGCAGAATGGACAGGTATGTTCCAAACTGCTGAATCTAATGGAGGGTTTATTTCTGTGTAATGAATGCACAGATCACAAAGCAGTTTCTCAGAGCTTCTTTATTAATTTTTCTGAAGATATTTCCTTTTCCAAAATAGGCCTCCACATGCTCCCAAATATCCCTTTGCAGATTCTAAAAAGACATTGTTTCTAAACTGCTGAATGAAAAGAAATGTTTATCTCTGTGAGATGAATGCACACATCATGAAGCAGTTTCACAGAGGATTTCCTTCTATTTTTCATCCTGGGATATAGGATTTTTCACCACTGCCCTCAATGAGCTCACAAATGTCCATATGCAGGATGGACAAAAACAGTGTTCCCAAACTGCTGAATCCTAAGAAGATTTGTTTTTTTGAGATGAATCCACATATGGCAAAGCAGATTCTCAGAAAGCTCCTTTCTAATTTTTATCTGAAGATGTTTCCTTTTTCACTGTAGGCCACAATATGGTCCCAAACATCCTTTCACAGATTCTACAAAAAGAGATTTTCCAAACTGCTGAATCCAAAGAATGATTTAATTTTGATTGATGAATGCACACATCACAAAGTGGTTTCTCAGAGAGCTTCCTTCTAGTTTTTATCCTGGAATATTTGCTTTTTTGCCATTGGTGTAAATGAGCTCCCAAATGTAATTTTCAGAATGGATGAAAATAATGTTTCCAAACTGCTGAAAAAATAAAGTTTTAACTATTTGAAATGAATGCACACATCACAAAGCAGTTTCTCAGAAAGCTTCTTTCTAGTTTTCATCAGAACATGTTTCCTTTTCACTATAAGCCTCTAAGCACTCTAAAATTTCCCTTCATTGATCCTACAAAAACAGTGCTTCCAAACTGATGAATGAAAGGTAGGTTTTAATTCTGTGAGATCAGTGCACAAGTCACAAAGCAGTTTCTCATACAGCTTCCTTGTATTTTTTTATCTTGGGATATTCCCATTTTTGCCTTTGGCATCAATGAGCTCCAAAATGTCCATTCACAGAATGGACAAAAACAGTGTTTCCAAACTGGTGAATCCAAAGAAAGTATTAACTCTGTGAGATGAATGTACATATCAGAAAGCCATTTCTCAGAAACGTTCTTTCTAGTTTTTGTCTGAAGATATTTCCTTTTTCACCATAGGCCTCAATGCGCTCCAAAATATCCCTGTGCAGATTGTACAAAAAGAGTGTTTCCAAACTGCTGAATGAAAAGAAAGGTTTAAATCTGCAAGATAAATTCACACACCCCAATGTATTTTCTCAGAGAGCCTCTTTCTAGTTTTTATCTGAAGATGTTTCCTATTTCAACGTGAGCATCAATGCACTCCCAAATATCCCTTTGCAAATTCTACAAAAACACTGTTTCCAAACTGCTGAGTGAAAAGAAAAGTTTAACTCTGTGAGATGAATGCACACAACATAAAGCAGTTTCTCAGATTGCTTCTTCTAGTTTTTATCCTGGGATATTCACTTTTTTGCCTTGGCCTCAATGAGCTCCGAATGTCCATTCACACAATGATCAAAAGGAGATTTTCCAAACTGCTGATTCCAAAGAAAGTTTTAACTCTGTGAGATGAATGCACACATCACAAAGCAGTTTCTCAGAAAGTTTCCTTCTAGTTTTTATCTGAAGATGTTTCCTTTTTCACCATAGGCCCCGAAATGCTCCAAAGTATCCTTTTGCAGATTCTACAAAAGTAGTTTTTCCAAACTGCTGAATGAAAAAAAAAGGTTCAACTCTGTGAGAAGAATGCACACATCTCAAAGTGGTTTCTCAGATGGCTTCCTTCTAGCTTTTATCCTGGGATATTCACTTTTCAACCATTGGCCTCAAAGAGCTCCCAAATGTCCATTTGTGGAATGGAAAAAATAGTGTTTCCTAACCGTTGTATCAAAAGAAAGGTTTAACTCTGAGATGAATACACACTTCCCAAATAGTTTCTCAGAGGGCTTCTTTCTAGTTTCTCTCTGAAGTTGTTTCCTTCTTTACCATAGGTCTCAGTGAGCTCCCAAAAGTCCATTCACAGAATGGGCAAAAACAGTGTTTCTAAAATGCTGAATGAAAAGAAAGATTTAATTCTGTGAAATGAATGCACACATCTCAAATTGGTTTCTCAGATAGCTTCCTTCTAGTTTTTTTCCTGCGATATTCAATTTTTCACCTTTGGCCTCAAGATGCTCCCAAGTGTCCATTCACACAATGGACAAAAACAGTGTTACCAAATTCCTGAATATAAAGAAAACTTTAACTCTGTGAGGTGAATACTCACATCCCAAAGCGGATTCTCAGAAACCTTCCTTCTAGTTTTTAATCTTAGATATATGCTTTTTGACTTTGTCCTCAACGGGCTCCCAACTGTCCATTCTGCAAATCAACAAAAATAGTGTTTTCAAACTTCTGAATAAAAAGAAAGGTTTAACTCTTTGAGTTGAATGCACACATCACAAGTAAGTTTCTCAGGAAGCTTCTTTCTTGTTTTTATCTGAAGTTGTTTCCTTTATCACCATAGGCCTCAGTGCATTCCCAAATATCCCTTCACAGATTTCACAAGAGGGTTTTCAAACTGCTGAATGAAAAGAAAGGTTTAACTCTATGAGATGAATGCACACATCATAAAGCGGTTTCTCAGTTTGCTTCCTACTAGTTTTTATCCTGGGATATTCTTTTTTTTTGCCATTGTCTTCAATGAGCTTCCAATGTCCTTTGCAGAATGGACAAAAAGGGTGCTTCCAAACTGCTGAATCTAAAGAAACGTTAAACTCTTTGAGACGAATGCACACATCACAAACGAGTTTCTCAGAAAGCTTCTTTCTCATTTTTATCTGAAGAAGTTTCCTTTTTCACCATAAGCCTCAATGAGCTCCCAAATAAACCTTCACAGATTCTACAAAAACAGTGTTTTCAAATTGCTGAATGAAAGAAAAATTTAATTCAGCAAGATGAATGCACACTTCACAAAGTGGCTTCTCAGATAGCTTCCTTCTAGTTTTTGTCTGAAGATGTTTTCTTTTTTACCATAAGCCTCTATGCCCTCCCAAATGTCCTTTCACAGATATGACAAAAACAGTGTTTCCAAGGAGCTGAATGAAAATGAAGATTTAACTCTGTGAAATGAATGCATACAACACGAAGCAGTTTCTCACATAGCTCCCTTCTAGTTTTTATCCTGGGATATTCACTTTTTTGCCATTTGCCTTAATGAGCTACAAAAAGTCCATCTGCAGAATGGCCAAAAACAGTGTTTGCAAACTGCTGAATCCAAATAAATGTTTATCTCTGTGAGATGAATGCACACATCACAAAGTAGTTTCTCAGAAAGCTTCTTTCTTGTTTTTATCTGAAGATGTTTCCATTTCACCATAGGCCCCAATGCACTTCAAAATGTCCCTTCACAGATTCTACAAAAACAGTGCTTCCAAACTGCGGAATCCACAGAAACGTTTAACTCTGTGAAATGAATGCACACATAGCAAAGTAGTTTCTCAGAAAGCTTCTTTCTCGTTTTTATCTAAAGATGTTTGCTTTTTCACCATAGGCCTCAAGGAACTCCCATTTTCCCTTCACAGATTCTACAAAAACAGTGTTTCCAAACTGCTGAAAGAAAAGAAAGGTTATCCTCTGTGAGATGAATGCACCCAACACAAAGCAGTTTCACAAATAGCTTCCTTCTAGTTTTTATACTGGTATATTTGCTTTCTTGCCATTGGCCTCATTGAGCTCAGAAATGTCCATTCACAGAATGGACAAAAAGACTTGCCAAACTGCTGAATCCAAAGAAAGTTTTAACTCTGTGAGGTGAATGCACAGATCACAAAGCAGTTTCTCAGAAACATTCTTTCTAGTTTTTAGCTGAAGATGTTTACTTTTTCACCATGGGCTTCAATGTGCTCCCAAATGTCCCTTTGCAGATTCTACAAAAAGATTGTTTGCAAACTCCTGAATGAAAAAATAGATTTACCTCTGTGAGAAGAATGCACACATCACAAAGCGTTTTCTCAGATAGCTCCCTTCTAGTTTTTATCCTGGGATATTTGCTCTTTTTGCCATTGGAATCAAAGAGCTCCAAAATGTCCATTTGCAGAATGAACAAAAGCAGTGTTTCCAAACTGCTGAAACCAAAGAAAGGTTTAACTCTATGAGATGAATGCACACGTCACAAAGCAGTTTCTCATAATGTTTCTTTCTAGTTTTTATCTAAAGATGTTTCCTTCTTGAGCTTAGGCCTCAGTGCAATGCTAAATATCCCTTCACAGATTCTAAAAAAAACCAGTTTTTCCAAACAGCTGAAGGAAAAGAAAGTTTTAACTCAGTGAGATGAATGAACACATCACAAAGCGGTTTATCTGAGAGCTTCCTTCCAGATTTTATCCTGGGATATTTGCTTTTAAACCATTGGCCTCAATTAGCCCCCAAATGACCATTCACTGAATGGACAAAAACAGTGTTTCCAAACTGCAGAATTGAAAGAAATGTTTAACTATGAGATAAAAGCACTCGTCACAAAGCAGTTTCCCAGAAAGTTTCTTACTTGTGTTTATCTGAAGTTGTTTCCTTTTTCACTTTAGACCTTATTGTGCTCCCAAATATACCTTCACAGATTCTACAAAGACAGTGTGTCCAAACTGCTGAATGGAAGAAAAGGTTTAACTCTGTGATATGAATGCAGACATCACTAAGTGGTTTCCCAGAAGCTTCCTTCTAGTTTTTTAACCTGGGATATTCGCTTTTTCGCCTTTGGCCTCAATGAGCTCCAAAACGTCCATTCGCAGAATGGACAAAAACAGTGTTGCCAAACTGCAGAATCCAAAGAAATATTTAACTATGAGATGAATGCAAATATCACAAAGCAGTTTCTCAGAAAACATCTTTCTTGATTTTACCTGAAGATGTTTCCTTTTTCACCATAGGCATCAATGTGCTCCAAAATATCACTTCACAGATTCTACAAAAACAGTGTTTCCAAATTGCTGAATGAAAATAAAGTTTAACACTGTGTGATGAATGTACACTTCACAAAGTGGATTCTCAGATCACTTCCTTCTTATTTATATCCTGGGATACTTGCTTTTTAGACTTTGGCTTAAATGAGCTCCAAAATGTCCATTCGCAGAATGGAGAAAAACAGTGTTTCAAAACTGCTGAATGCAAGGAAAGATTTAACTCTGAGAAATGAATAAACGTATCACAGATCAGTTTCTCAGAAATCTTCCTTCTAGTTTTTATCTGAAGATATTTCCTTTTTCACGATAAGTCTCAATGTGCTCCCAAATATCCTTTGGCAGATGCTACAAAAAGAGTGCTTCAAAATTTTTGAATGACAAGAAAGGTATAATTTTGTGATATGAATGCACACATCAGAATGCAGTTTCTCAGAGTGTTTCCTTCTAGTTTTTAATCCTGGTATATTTGCTTTATCAAAATTGGTCTCAACGAGGTCCTAAATATCCATTTGCAGAATGGACAAAAACAGTGTTTACAAACTGCTGAATCAAAAAAAAGGTTTAATTTTGTGCAATGAATGCATACATCACAAAGCAACTTCTTAGAAAATTTCTTTCTAGTTTTTATCTGAAAATTTTTTTCTTTTTCAATACAGGCATGAATCTGCTCCCAAATATCCCTTCACAGATTATACAAAAAGTGTTTCCAAACTGCTGATTGAAAAGAGAGGTTTAACTCTGTGAGATGAATGGACACATCACAAAGCGGGTTTTCAGATAGCTTCCTTCTAGTTTTTGTCCTGGGATATTCTCTTTTTTGCCATTGGCCTCAATGAGCTCCCAAATATCCATTTGTAGAATGGACAAAAATAGTGTTTCCAAACTGCTGAATCCAAAGAAACGTTTAACTCCATGAGATGAATACACACATCAGAAAGCAGTTTCTCAGAAAACTTCTTTACAGTTTTTATCTGAAAATGTTTACTTTTTCATGATAAGCCTCAATATGCTCCCAAATATGACTTCACAAATTCTAAAAAAACACTGTTTCCAAACTGTTTAATGTAAACAAACGTTTAATTCTGTGAGGTGAATGCATACGTCACAAAGCGGTTTCTCAGATATCTTCCTTTGAGTTTTTATTCTGGGATATTCGCTTTTTAACCATTGGCCTCAATGAGCTCTCAAAAGTCCATTAGCAGAATGGACAAAAGCAGTGTTTCCAAACTGCAGAATCAAAAGAATTATTTAACTGTGAGATGAATGCACACATCACAAAGCAGTTTCTCAGAAAGCTTCTTTCTAGTTTTCATCTGAAGGTGTTTCCTTTTTCACCATTTGCCTCAAGGCACTCACAAATATCCCTTTGATGATTCTATGAAAACAGTGTTTCCAAACTGCTGAATGAAAAGAAAAGTTTAACTCTGTGAGATAAATGCAGACATCACTAAGTGGTTTCTCAGATAGTTTCCTTCTAGTTTTTATCCTTGGATATTTGTTTTTTTGCCACTGGCCTCAATGAGCTCCCAAAGATCCATTCACAGAATGGACGAAAACATTGTTTCCATACTGGTGAATCCAAAGAAAGATTTAACTGTGTGAGATGTATGCACACATCGCAAAGCAGTTAGTCAGGAAGCTTCTTTCTAGTTTTAATATGAAGATGTATCTTTTGTCGCCATATGCCTCAATACGTTCCCAAATATTCCTTTGCAGATTCTTCAAAAACAGTGTTTCCAAACTGCTTAATAAAAGGAAAGGTTTAATTCTGTGGGATGAATGCACACATCAGAAAATGGTTTCTCTGCCAGACTCCTTCTAGTTTTTATCCTGGGATATTCAGTTTTTCCCCTTTGGCCTCAATGAGTTTCCAAATGTCCATTCACAGAATTTACAAAAACAGTGTTTCCAAACTACTGACTCCAAAGAAACTTTAACCCTGTGAGATGAATGCACACATCATAAAGTAGTTTCTCAGAAAACTTCTTTATAGTTTTTATGTGAAGAATTTTCCTTTTTCACCATAAGCCTCAATGTGCTCCAAAATATCCCTCACAGATTCTACAAAAACAGTGTTTCCACATTTTCTTAATCCAATTGAACAATGAGATCACACGGACACAGGCAGGGGAATACCACACTCTGGGGACTGTTGTGGGGTGGGGGGAGGGATAGCATTGGGAGATATACCTAATGCTAGATGATGAGTTAGTGGGGGCAGCACACCAGCATGGCACATGTATACATATGTAACTAACCTGCACAATGTGCACATGTACCCTAAAACTTAAAGTATAATAAAAAAAACAGTGTTTCCAAACTGCTGAATTAAAATAAAGTTTTAGCTCTGTGAGATGAATTCATACATCACAAAACTGTTTCTCAGACAGCTTCCTTCTAGTTTTTATCCTTGGATATTTGCTATTTTGCCGTTGGCCTCAATGAGCTCAAAAATGTCCTTTTACATAATAGAGAAAAACAGTGTTTCCAAGCTGCTGAATACAAAGAGAGGTTTGACTCTGTGAGATGAATGCACACGTCATAAAGCAGTTTGACAGAAAGATTCTTTCTAGTTTTTATCTGAGCTGTATGCTTTTCACCATAAGCCTCAACACAATCCCAAACATCCCTTTGCAGTTGCTACCAAAACAGTGTTTCCAAACTCCTGAATGAAAACAAAGGTTTAACTCTGTGAGATGAATGCATGCATCACAAAGCAGTTTCTCAGATAGCTTCCTTCTAGTTTTTATCCTGGGATATTCACTTTTTTGTCATTGGCTTCAATGAGTTCCCAAATGTCCATTCGCAGAATGGACAAAAAGGAGTGTTTCCAAAATTCTGAATAAAAAGAATGTTTAACTCTGTGAGATGAATGCACACATCACAAAGCAATTTCTCAGAAAGCTTCTTTCTAGTCTGAATATGTTTCCTTTTCCACCATAAGCGTCAACGCACTAACTAATATCCCAACACAGATTCTACAAAAGCAGTTTTTCCAAGGTGCTGAATGAAAAGAAATCTTTAACTCTGTGAGATGAATGCATGTATCACAAAGCAGTTTCTCCCACAGCTTCCTTGTAGTTTTTTTCCTGGGATATTCCCTGTTTCACCATTGTCCTCAATGAACTCCCAAATGTCAACTCACAGAATGGACAAAAACAGTGTTTCCAAACTGCTGAATACAAATAAAGTTTTAACTCTGTGATATAAATGCACACACGAAAAAGTGGTTTCTCAGAAAGCTTCTTTCCAGTGTTTGTCTGAAGATGTTTCCTTTTTCACCACGTGTCTCAATGTGCTCCCAAATATCCCTTGGAAATTCTACAAAAACAGTGTTTCCAAACTGCTGAGTGAAAAGAAAGTTTTAATTCTGTGAGATGAGCGCACACATCACAAATCTGTTTCTCAGATAGCTTTCCTCTAGTATTTATTCTGGGATATTCACTTTTTTACCCTTAGCCTCAAAGAGGTCTAAATTGTCCATTTTTAGAATGGACAAAAACAGTGTTTCCAAACTGCTGAATGATAAGAGGTTTAACTTTCATATATGAATGCACACATCAAAAGGTGTTTTCTCTGATAGCTTCCATCTAGTTTTTATCCTGGGTTATTCACTTTATCACCATTGGCCTCAATGAGCTCCCAAATGTCCATTTGCAGAATGGAAAAAAAAACAGTGTTTCCAAACTACTGAATAAAATGAAAGGTTTAACTCTGTGAGATGAATGCACACATCACAAAGCAGTTTCTCAGAAAGCCTCTTTCTCGTTTTTAATCTGAAGATATTTCCTTTTTCAGCACATACCTCAATGTGCTCCCAAGTATTCCTTCACAAATTCTGCAAAAACATTGTTTCCAACCGCTTAATGAAAAGTAAGGTTTAACTCTGTGAGATGAATGCACACATAACAAAGCAGTTTCTCAGATAGCTTCCTTCTAGTTTTTCCTTGGATATTTGCTGTTTCACCATTGGCTTAAATGAGCTCCCACATGTCCATTTTCATTATGGACAAAAAGAGTGTTCTCAAACCGTGGAATCCAAAGAAAGTTTTAATTGTGTGAGATGAATGCACACATCACAAACAGTTTCTCATGAAGCTCCTTTCTAGTTTTTCTGAAGAGGTTTATTTTTTCCCCACAAGCCTCAATGTACTCCCAAACATCCCTTCTCAGATCCTGCAAAAACAGCATTTCCAATCTGCTGAATGAGAAGACATTTAAGTCTGTGAGATGAATGCACACAACACAAAGTGCCTTCTCCAATGGCTTCCTTCTAGTTTTAATACTGAGATATCCACTTTTTTGTCAATTGCCTCAAAGAGCTCCAAAATGTCCATTTGAATAATAGACCAGAACAGTGTTTCCAAACTTCTGAATGAAAGGAAAGGTTAAACTCTGTGACATGAATGCACACATCAAAAAGTGGTTTCTCAGATAGCTTCCATTTAGTTATTATCCTGGGAAATTCGCTTTTTCACCACTCACGTCAATGAACTCCCAAATGTCAATTCCACAATGTACAAAACCGTGTTTACAAACTTATGAATCAAAGAAAGGTTTAGTTCTGTTACAGGAAGGCACACATCATAAACCAGTTTCTCAGAAAGCTTGTTTCTCATTTTTATCTGAAGATGTTTCCTTTTTCACTATAGGCCTCAATTAGATCCCAAATATCCCTTCGCAGGTTCTACAAAAACAGCGTATCCAAACTGCTGAATGAAAAGAAAGGTTTAACTGTGTGAGATGAATGCACACATCACAAATCGGTTTATTAGATAGCTTCCTTCTAGATTTTATCCTTGGATATTCACTTTTTCACAGTTGGCCACAATGAGCTCCCAAATGTCCATTTGCAGAACGGAAAAAAAACAGCTTTTCCAAACTTCTGAATCCAAAGAAATGTTTAACTCTGTGATATAAATGCACCCATCACAAAGCAGTTTCTCAGAAAGTTGCTTTTACTTTTTATCTGCAGAAGTTTCTTTTTTCACCACAGGCCTCAATGCCCTCCCAAATAACCATTCACAGATTATAATAAACAGTGTTTCCAAACCGCTGAATGAAAACAAAAGTTAACTCTGCAAGGTGAATGCACAAATAACAAAGAGGTTTCTCAGATAGCTTACTTCTAGTTTTCCTGGGATATTCACTTTTTCACCATTGGCCTCAATGAGCTCCCAAATGTCCTTTTGCACAATGGACTAAAACAGTGTTTCCAAACTTCTGAATAAAATGAAAGGTTTAACTCTGTGAGATGAATGCACATATCACAAAGCAGTTTCTCAGAACGCTCCTGTCTAGTTTTTATCTGAAGATGTTTCCTTTTTCACCAGGTGCTTCAATGTGCTCCCAAATATCCCTTCACAAATTCTGCAAAAACAGTGTTTACAAACTGCTGAATGAAAAGTAAGGTTTAAGTCTGTGAGATCAATGCACACATAACAAAGCCATTTCTCAGATAGCTTCCTTCTTGGTTTCCTTTATGTATTTGCTTTTTCATCATTGGCTCAGTGAGCTCCCACAGGTCCATTTGCAGAATGGACAAACACAGTGTTATCCAATGGCTGAATCCAAAGAAAGTTTTAACTCTGGAAGATGAATGCACACATCACAAGGTACTTTCTCTGAAAGGTTTTTCTACTCTATATCCTAAGATACTCCCTTTTTTGCCATTGGGCTCAATGAGCTCCCAAATGTCAACTCGCAGAATGGACAAAAACAGTTTTTTTCAACCTGCTGAATCCAAAGAAAGTTTTAACAGTGTGAGATGAATGCCCACATCACAAAGCAGGTTCTCAGAAAGCTTCATTCTAATTTTTTTCTGAAGATGTTTCCTTTTTCACCATAGGCCTCAAGGGGCTCCCAAATATTACTTCACAGATTCTACAAAAACAGTGTTTCTGAACTGCTGAATGAAAAGAAAGTTTTCACTCTGCAAGATGAATGCAAACATCACAAAGCAGTTTATCAGATAGCTTCCTTCTGGCTTTAATTCTCGGATATTCATTTTGAACCCTGTGATATGAATACACACATCACAAGGCATTTTCTCTGAAAGCTTCTTTCTAGTTTTTATCTGAAGATATTTTCTTTTTCACCATAGACCTCAATGCCATCCCTAATATACCTTCACAGGTTCTACAAAAACAGGGTTTCCAACATTCTGAATGAAAGGAGATGGTTAACACTGTGAGATGAATGCATACATCACAAAGCAGTTTCTCAGATGGCTTCCTTCTAGTTTTTGTCCTGGGATATTCATTTTTTCGACACTGGCCTCAATGAGCTCCAAAATGTTCATTTGCAGGATAGAAAAAAAGCAGTTTTTCCAAACTAATGAATGAAAAGAAAGGTTTAAGTCAGCACGATGAATGCACACATCAGAAAGCATTTTCTCAGATATCTTCCTTTTAGTTTTTATCCTGGAATATTTGTTTTTCACCACTGGCCTCAATGAGCTCACAAATGTCAAGTCACAGAATGGACATAAACAGTGTTTCCAACATGCTGAATAAAAAGAAAAGCTTAACTCTGTGATATGAATGCACACATCACAAAGTAGTTTTTCAGAAAGCTTCTTTCTAGTCTGAAGATGTTTCCTTTTTCACCACAGGCCTAAATGTGCTAACAAATATCATATCATAGATTCTACAAAAACAGTGTTACCAAACCGCTGAATGAAAAGAAATGTTTAACTCTGTGAGATGTATGCACATATCACAAAGCAGTTTCTCAGATAGCTTCCTTATAGTTTTTATCCTGGGATGTTCCCTTTTTCACCATTGGCCCCAATGAGCTCCCAAACGTCCTTTCTCAGAATGGACAAAAACAGTGATTCCGAAATGCTGAATCCAAAGAAAGTTTTAACTCTGTGATATGAATGCACATAAAAAAAAACAGTTTCTCAGGGAAGTTCTTTCTAGTTTTTATGTAAAGATGTTTCCTTTTTCACCCCAGGCTTCAAAGTGCTGCCAAATATTTCTTTGCAGATTCTACAAAAACAGTGTTTCCAAACTGCTGGATCCAAAGAAGTTTTAACTCTGTGACATGAATGCACACATCATAAACTGGTTTCTCAGATAGTTTCCTTCTAGTTTTTAACCTGGAATATTCACTTTTTCATCATTGGTCTCAATGAGCTTCAAAATTTCCATTCGCAGAATGGACATAAACAGTGTTTCCAAACTACTGAATAAAACGAAAGTTTTAACTCTGTGAGGTGAATGCATACATCACAAGCAGTTTTTCAGAAAGATTCTTTCTAGTTTTTTCTGAAGATGTTTCCTTTTCCACCACATGCCTAAATATACTCCCAAATATCCCTTCATAGATTCTACAAAAACAATGTTTCTAAACTGATGAATGAAAAGAGAGGCTTAACTCTCTGAGATGAATGCCCACATCACAAAGTGGTTTCTCAGATAGCTTCCTTCTAGTTTTTATCCTTGGATATTAGCTATTCACCATTGGCCTCAATGAGCTCCCAAATGTCCATTCGCAGAAAGAACAAAAAGATTGCTTCCAAACTGCTGAATCCAAAGGAAGTTTTAACTCTGTGAGGTGAATGCATACATCACAAAGCAGTTTCTCAGGCAGCTTCTTTCTAGTTTGTATCTGAGGATGTTTCCTTTTTAACCAGAGGCCTCAATGCACTCCCAAATATCCCTTCACAGATTCTGTAAAACCAGTGATTCCAAACTGCTAAGTGCAAGAAAAAGTTTAAATCTGTGAGATGAATGCACCCATAAGAAACCAGTTTTTCAGATAGCTTTCTTCTAGTTTTTATCATGGGATATTCACTTCTTCACCATTGGTCTCCATGAGTTCCCAAATGTTGATTCAGCAAATGGACAAAAACAGTGTTACCAAACTGCTGATTCCAAAGCAACTTTTAACTCTGTGAGATGAATGCACACATCACAAAGCAGTTTCTCAAACAACTTCATTCTAGTTTTTATATGAAGATCTTTCCTTTTATACCATAGGCCTCAATGCACTCCCAAATATTCCTGCACATATTCTACAAAAACTGTGTTTCCAAACTGCAGAATAAAAGAAAATTTTAAGACTGCGAGATGAATGCACAAATTACCAAGATTTTTCTCAGAGAGCTTCCTTCCAATCTTTATTCTGTGATATTCACTTTTTTGGCATTGGCCTCAATGAGCTCCCAAATGTTCATTCACAGCATGGACAAAAACAGTGTTTCCAAACTACCTGATGAAAAAAAAGTTTTAACTCTGTGTGATGAATACACATATCACAAAGTAGTATCTCAGAAAGCTTTTTTCTATCTCAGAAAGTTTTTATCTGAAGATGTTTTCTTTTACACCACTGGCCCCTATGTACTCCCAAATACCCCTTACCAGATTCTACAAAAAAAGTGTTTCCAAACTTCCAAATGAAAACAAAGGTTTAATGGTGAGAGATCAATTGACACATCACAAACAGGTTTCTAAGATAGCTTCCTTCTAGTTTTTATGTTTTGATATTTGCTTTTTTGCCATTGGCCTCAATAAGTTCTGAAATATGCATTTGTGCAATGGACAAAACAATTGTTTCCAAACTGCTGAATACAAAGAAAAGTTTACCTCTGTGAGTTGAATGCACAAATAGAAAGCAGTTTCTCAGACAGCTTCCTTCTAGTATTTATCTGAAGATGTTTCCTTTTTTACCATAGGCCTCAAGCACTCCCAGATATCACTTCACATATTTTACTAAAATATAGTTTCCAAATCTGAGTGAATAGAAAGGCTTAACTCTGTGAGGTGAATGCACACATCACAAAGCAGTTTCTCAGATAGCTTCCTTCTGGTTTTTATCAAGTGATATTTTCTTTTGTGCCAAAGGCCTCAACAAGTTTCCAAATGTCTAGTTGCAGAAATGACAATAACATTGTTTCCAAACTGCTGAATCCAAACAAAGGTTGAAATCTGAGAAATGAATGCACTCATCACAAAAGTTTCTCAGAAAGCTTCTTTCTAGTTTTTATGTGAAGTTACATCCTTTTTCTCCATAGGCCTGAATTTCCTCCAAATTATCCCTTTATACTATATACAAAAACAGACTTTCCAGTCTACTGATGAAAAGAGAGGTTTAACTCTGTGAGGTGAATGCACACATCAGAAACTTGTTTCTCAGATACCTTCCTGCTAGTTTTTATCCTGTGATATTCGCTTTTTTGCCTTTGGCCTCAATGAGCTCCCAATTGTCCATTCACAGAATGGACAAAAACAGTGTTTCCAAACACCTGAGTCCTAAGAAAGTTTTAATTTTGTCAGTCAAATACACACATCAAAAAGCAGTTTCTCAGAAAGCCTCTTTCCGGTTTTTATATGAAGATATTACCTTTTTCACCATAGGCCCTAATATGCCCCAAAATACCCCTTAGCAGATACTTCAGAAACAGTGTTTCCAAACTGCTGAAGGAAAATAAATTTTTCATTGTGTGCAATGAATGGACATGTCACAAAGCAGTTTCTCAGATAGCTTCCTTACAGTTTGTATCCTGGGCTATGCACTTTTTCACCATTGGCCTCAATGATCTCCCAAATGTGCATTTGCAGAATGGACGAAAAGACTGTTTCCAAACTGCTGAATCCAAAGAAAGATTTAATTCTGTGAGATGAATGCACACATCACAAGCAGTTTCTCAGAAAATTTCTTTCTAATTTTTATCTGAAGATGTTTCCTTTTTCAACATAGGCCTCAATGCACTCCCAAATATCCCTTCTCAGATTCTAGAAAAACAATGTTTCCAAACTGCTGAATGAATAGAAACATTTAACTCTGCGAGATGAATGCACACATCAAAAATCGGTTTCTCAGATAGCATCCTCCTAGTTTTTATCATGCGATATTCCCTTTTTCACCATTGGCCTCAACACACTCCCAAATATCCTTTTGCAGATTCCACAAAAACAGTGTTTACAAGCTGCTCAATGAAAAGAAATGTTTAACTGTCTGAGATGAATATGTACATCAGAAAGCAGGATCTAAGAAAGATTCTTTCTAGTTTTTATCTGAAAATATTTAATTTTTCAGCATAGACCTCAAGGCGCTCCAAAATATCCTTAGCAGATTGTACAAAAACATTTCTTCCAAACTGCTGAATCCAAAGAAAGCTTTAACTCTGTGAGATGAATGCACACATCACAAAGTGGCTTCTCAGAAAGATTCCTTCTACTTTTTCTCTGCATATATTTACTTCCTCAACATAGGCCTCATTGCGCAGCAAAATATCCCTTCGTGTATTCTACAAAAACAGTGTTTCCAAACTGCTCAATCAAAAGAAAGCTTTAACTCTGTGAGGTGAAGGCATACATCACAAAACACTTTCTAAGAAAGCTTCCTTCTAGTTTTTCTCTGAAGATATTTCCTTTTTCATGTAGGGCTCTGTGTGCTCCCAAATATCCCTTCACAGATTCTACAAAACAGTGTTTCTAAACTGCTAAATGAAAAGAATGCTTTTACTCTGTGAGATGAATGCACACATCACAAAGCAATTTCTCAGAAAGCTTCTTTCTAGTTTTTATCTGAAGATATTTCCTTTTTCAACATAGGCCTCAATGCACTCCCAAATATCCCTTCACAGATTCTAGAAAAAACAGTGATTCCAAAATGCTCAGTTAAAAGCAAGGTTTACCTCTGTGAGATGAAAGCACACATCATAAAGTAATTTCACAGAAAGCTTCTTTCTAGTTTTTCTCTGAAGATAATTCCTTTTTCACCATAGGCCTCAATGTGCTCCCAAATATCCCTTCACAGATTCTACAAAAACAGTACATCCAAACTGCTGCATCAAAAGAAAAGTTAAATTCACTTAGATGAGTGTGCACATCACAAAGCCGTTTCTCAGAAAGCTTCTTTCTAATTTTTAACTGAAGATATTTCCTTTGTCATCATAAACCTCAATACACTCCCCAGTATCCCTTCACAGATTCTACAAAAACAGTGTTTCTAAACCTCTAAATAGGAATCTTTAACGCTATGAGATGAATGCACACATCACAAAACAGTTTCTCAGAAAGCTTCTTTCTGGTTTCTATCTGAAGATATTTTCTTTTTCACCATAGGTCTCAATGTGCTCCCAAATATACCTTTGCAGATTCTACAAAAACAGTGTTTCCAAACTTCTGATTGAAAAGAACTGTTTAACTCTGTGAGATGAATGCACACATCGCATTTTACAATTAGATTCCTTCCAGTTTTTATCCTATGATAATCACTTAATTGCCATTGGCCTCAAAGATTTCCAAAATGTCCATTCACAGAATGGACAATAACAGTGTTTCCAAACTGCTGAATCAAAATAAAAGTTTATATATCCGAAGTGAATGCCCACATTACAAAGCAGTTTCTCAGAAAGCTTCTTTCTAATTATTATCTGAAGGTGTTTTCATTTTCACCATAGGCCTCAATGTGCTCCCAAATATCCCTTTGAAGACTCTACAAAAACAGTGGTTCCAAAGTGCTCAATCAAAAGAAAGTTATACTTCTGTGAGATGAATGCACACATCACAAAGAAGTTTCTCAGAAGGTTTCTTTCTAGCTTTTCTCTGAAGGTATTTCATTTTTCACCATAAGCCTCAATGTGCTCCCAAATATCTCTTCACAGATTCTGCAAATGCAAGGTTTCCATACTGCTCAATCAAAAAGATGGATAAACTCTGAGAGATTAATGCAAACATCACAAAGAAGTTACTCAGAATGTTTCTTTCTAGTTTTTCTCCGAAGGTATTTCCTTTTTCACTATAGGTCTCAGTGCACTCCCAAATATACCTTCACAGATCCTACAAAAAACTGCTCCATGAAAAAAAGGTTTAACTCTGTCAGATGAATGCACACAACACAAAGCAGTGTTTTAGACAGCTTCTTTCTAGTTTTTATCTGAAGATATTTCTTTTTTCACCATAGGTCTCAGCACTCTCCCAAATAGCCCTTTGCCAGTTCTTTAAAACTGTGTTTCCAAAGTACTTAATTAAAAGATACTTTAAACTCTGTGAGATGAGTGTACACATCACAAAGCAGTTTCTCACAAAACTTCTTTCTAGTTTTTCTCTGAAGATATTTCCTTTTTCACAAAAATCCTCAATGTACTCCCAAATATCCCTTGCAGATTCTGAAAAAACAATGTTTAGAAACTGTTCCAATGAAGGAAAGTTTTAACTCTGTGAGATGAATGCACACATCACAAAGCAGTTACACAGAAAGCTTCTTTCTAGTTTTTATCTGAAGATATTTCCTTTCTCACCATAGGCCTCAGTGCACTCCCAAATATCCCTTCACAGATTCTTCATAAATAGTGTTTTGAAACTGTTCAATTAAAATAAAGGTTTAACACTGTGAGATGAATTCATACATCACAAAGCAGTTTCTCAAAAAGCTTCTTTCTAGTGTTTATTTGAAGATATTTTCTTTTTCACCATATGCCTCAATGCACTCCAAAATACCCCTCCACAGATTCTACAAAAACAGTGTTTACCATATCCTCCATCCAAAGAAGGGTTTAACTCTGTGAGATGAATGCATACATCACAAAGCAATTTGTCAGAAAGCTTCTTTCTGGTTTTACTCTGATGATATTTCATTTTTCACCATCGGCCACAATGCAATCCCAAATATCCCTTTGCAGATTCTACAAATACAGTGTTATCAAACTGCTCCATCAAAAGAAAGTTTAACTCTGTGAGATGAAAGTACACAACACAAAGCTGTTTCTTAGAAAGCTTCTTTCTAGCTTTTATCTGATGATATTTCCATTTTGACCATAGGCCTCAATGTGCTCCCAAATATCCCTTCGCAGATTCTACAAAAACAGTGTTTCCAAACTGCTTAATCAAAAGTATGGTTTAACTCTGTGAGATGAATGTACACATCAATAAGCAGTTTCTCAGAAAGATTCTTTCTGGTTTTTATCTGAAGATATTTTCTTTTTCACCTTAGGCCTCAATGTGCTGTCAAACTTCCCTTTGCAGATTCTACAAAACACTGCTCCATCAAAAAAAAAAAAAGGTTTAACTCAGGGGATGAATGCACACAAGTCAAAGCTGTGTCTCAGAAAGCTTCTTTCTAGTTTTTCTCTGAAAATATTACTTTTTTCACCGTATGCCTCAATGCACTCCCAAATATCCCTTCGGAGGTTCTACAAAAAGAGTGCTTCCAAATTGCTCCATTGAAAGAAATGTTTAAATCTGTGATCACAATGAACACAACAAAAGCATTTTCTCAGAAAGCTTCATTCTAGTTTTTCTCTGAAGATATTTCCTTTTTCACCATAGGCCTCCATGCACTCCAAAATATCCCATTTCAGATTCTACAAAAACATTGTTTCCTAACTGCTCAATCAAAAGAAAGGTTTAAATCTGTGAGATGAATGCACACATCACAAAGAAGTTTCTCAGAAAGCTTATTTCTAGTTTTTATCTGTAGGTATTTTTTTTCAACATAGACCTCAATTCCCTCCAAAATAACCTTTCGCAGATACTACAAAAACAATATTTTCAAAATGCTCAATCAATAGAAAGGTTTAACTCTGTGAGGTGAATGGACACATCACAAAGAAGTTTCTCAGATAGCTTATTGGTTGTTTTTATCTGAAGATATATCCTTTTTCACCATAGGCCTCAGTGTGCTCCAAAATATCCCTTTGCAAGCCCTAAATAATAGTGTTTCAAAGCTGCTCCATCAAAAGAAAAGTTTAACTCTGTGAGATGAGTGCACACATCAAAAAGCTCTTTTTCAGAAACCTTCTTTCTAGTACCCCTTCACAGATTCTACAAACAGTGATTTCTCAAACTGCTGAATTAAAAGCAAGGTTTAACTCTGAAATGAATGTACACATCACAAAGCATTTTCTCATAAACTTCTTTCTTGTTTTTCTCTGAAGATATTTCCTTTATCCCCATAGACCTCAATGTGCAATCAAATGTCCTTACACGGATTCTACACAAAACTCCTCCATCAAAAGAAAGGTTTAACTCTGTGAGATGAATGTACACATCTCAAAGCAGTTTCTCAGAAAACTTCATTCTAATTTTTATCTGAAGATCTTTCCTTTATCACCATAGGCCACAATTCACTCCAAAATATCCTTTCACAGATTCTACGAAATCAGTGTTTTAAAACTGCTGAATGAAAAGAAAGATTTATCTCCGTGAGAAGAATGCAAACTCCTTAAAGTGATTTCTCAGACAACTTCCTCATAGTTTTTATCCTGGGATATTCATTTTTTTGCCATTGACCTCAATGAACTCCCAAATGTCCATTCACAGAATGAAGAAAAATGATGTTGCAAAATTGTTGAATCAAAAACAAGGCTTAACTGTGTGAGGTTAATGAACACACCAGAAAGCATTTTTTCGGAAAGCTTCTGTCCACTTTTTATATGAAGATTTTTTTTAACTTTTGGCCTCAATGGGCTCCCAAACATCCCTTTGCAGATACTACAAAAACAGTATTTCCAAACTGCTGAATGAAAAGAAAGCTTTAACTCTGCAAGATGAATGCACACATCACAAAGCAGTTTCCTGTTGTGGGAAGTAAGGGACCCCAAATGGAGGGACCGGCTGAAGCCATGGCAGAAGAACATGGATTGTGGAGATTTCATGGACATTTATTAGTTCTCCAAACTAATACTTTTATAATTTCTTATGCCTGTGTTTACTGCAATCTCTAAACATAAATTGTGAAGATTTCATGGACACTTATCACTTCCCCAATCAATATCCTTGTGATTTCCTATGCCTGTCTTTACTTTAATCTCTTAATTCTGTCAGCTGAGGAAGATGTCTGTTGCCTCAGAACTGTGTGATAATTATGTTAACTGCACAAATTGTAGAGCATGTGTGTTTAAACAATATGAAATCTGGGCACTTGAAAAAAAGAACAGGCTAACAGCAATGTTTGGGAAACAAGAGAGATAACCTTAAACTCTGACTGTCAGTGAGCTGGGCAGAACAGAGCCATATTTCTCTTCTTTCAAAAGCAAATGGGAGAAATAACACTGAATTCTTTTTCTCAGCAAGGAACATCCCTGAGAAAGAGAATGCACACCTGGGGGTGGGTCTCTGAACTGGCCCCCTGGGAGTGGCTGTCTTTTGTGGTCTGTACACTGTAGGGGTGAAATAGAACCCAGTCTCCTATAGCACTCCCAGGCTTATTAGGAAGAGGGAATTCCCACCTAATAAATTTTGGTCAGACCGGTTGCTCTCAAAACCCTGTCTCCTTATAAGATATTATCAGTGACAATGGTGCCCAAAACTTCATTAGCAATTTTAACTTCTCCCTGGTCCTGTGATCTCACCTGCCTCCACTTGCCTTGTGATATTCTATTATCTTGTGAAGTACCTTATATCTGTGTCCCACACATATTCACACACTCCCTTCCGTTTTGAAACTCCCTAATAAAAACTTGCTGGTTTTGTGGCTTGGGGGGCATCACGGAACCTACCGACATGTGATGTCTGCCCCGGATGCCCGGCTTTAAAATTTCTCTATTTTGTACTCTGTCCCTTTGTTTCTCAAACCAGCTGACACTTAGGGAAATTAGAAAAGAACCTACGTGATTATCAGGGCAGGTTCCCTGATATCTGGCACCCATGTGGTCTTTCTTTTTTCCTAAGTGCATGAAGAAACCCGATTCCCTTTGGTAGGTGTAGTGAAATGTCATTGGCTTGGTCCACAGATACACGTGTTCGACTCCCTGATGAGTGGTTAGTAGTCTGTGTATGGTCTGGGTTAACTATGGGTCATGCGGAGTCTAAGCATCATGCTTATCTCTACTATATTAAACTCCTGTTAAAACAGGGTGACGTTTGTGTGCCTATGGAAAATATGGTCACTCTATTCAAGGCAATGGTGAAATTCTGTCCTTGGTTTCCTGAAAAAGGAACCATTTATGTAAAAGAAAGGGATTGTGATGGTACAGAATTCTGGAAACTCATCTTGGCAGGGTATTAAGTTCCCATCACTGGTTGGGGTGGTTGGGCCTTGGTGCATGCCACCTTAGTGGCGTGCCAATCCCATGACCTCTGGCAGTTGCCACAGTTTTCTGCCTTTTCCTCAGTTGCTCTGCCTTTTCCTCAGCCTTCCTCTCCCACATGGCCTTCATTATCTGATCAGACTCTCCCTTCAGCTACTCCTCCCCCACCTAACGATGCTGAAAATTCAATGTCTAACTCTGGTAACTCTGGTTAAGTTTACCCCCTACTTATCTTACTTCTTTTCACGAAAAGCCAGTACTTGAAACTCCTGCAGCCGTGACTCACACAGCCCAGTACCATAGATAAGCTAATTCTTCTTTCTTCAAACCTCTGGCATCAGCTAAAGGCTCCAGGACCAAACTACAATTTACCTCTCACTCTCCAGGCCCTCCCCCATCCACTGCAGCCCCTCACCCTCCTGTCGTTTTGGTTCCTTAACCAGTCACTTTACCGTCCACTCAGCCTGCTTCTCTGTACCCTTCTTCACACTTGAACACCAGTAATCACCAGTATACTTCCACTCTTTCTGCTCTCCCCATGCCTCTTTCTCACACTCTCATTCCAATCAGCCCCTCTCACACTCAGTTTCCCTTATCTACACAGGGTTTTCCTGTCACTTCTATGCTGACTCGGTCTCAGATGCCTACTCTTGAAACTTCAATGCAACACGTAATACCCCCAAACAAACAAGTGGATTAGATGTGTGGACTTATCTGGTCATGCTAGACCCACCTAAATTCCAAGGGTTGCAAATGTGTCATTATGTACCTCTTAATCTTACCTTTTTAAAAGAATTTAAGGATGCCTGTACTCAGTATGGTCCTACTTCTCCTTATGTTAAGATGGTTTTACAGACTTTTTCTACTGAGGTGACTTTACTTCCTTTAGATTGGGACCTTTTGACAAAAGCTGTTCTAACTCCATCTCAGCATTTACAATTTTGTACCTGGTGGTCAGAGGAGGCCCATTTGCAGGCTCAGCTAAATAGCAGTAATGGCATTCCAATTACTCAGGCTCAGCTCACAGGCTCTGATAGTTTCTCTGATGCTTATGCCCAATTAAACTTTGATGCCCTTACCACAGAACAAGTAACAAATGTGTGTATGAGAGCTTGGGATAAGTTACGTGCTCCAGGCCAAGCTCCTGTTTCTTTTACCATGGTTAAACAAGGTCACACTGAATTATACCATGATTTTTTGGCTAAATTACAAGATGCTGTTGAAAAATCTGTCTCTGATGAGCACGCTCAAGGCATTCTCCTTCGTATGTTAGCTTTTGAAAATGTAAACCATGAACGTAAAATGGCCATGCGTTCTGTCCAATGACAAAATTTACCAATCACGAGGTGTTGCCTGCATATATTAAAGCTTGTGAAGGCATTGGATAAGACACCCACAAAGCTATTCTGTGGGCACGGGTCATGGACACCAAGCAAACTGGTCCCACTAATTCTTCTCTTGGAGCCTGCCATAATTGTGGCCAACTTGGTAATATTCAAAAAAATTGCACTGTTAAAAACTTACAGATGGCCACCCCAGTTCAACAAACACAGCCAAATGCTGCTCCTACTGTTTGCCCATGTTGTCATAAAAGTAAACTTTGGGCAAATATTTGCTGCTTTAAGTATGATATAGATGGAAACCTCCTGCCACAACACCAGGGAAATGGGGACCGGAGCCGGTCCCAGGCCCCAACATCAAATGGACACTTCAAGCTCAGACCAACATTGTGTTTCCTCTTCAGGCTGTCCCAACACAACCCCCAGCACAAACAAATCTAACTACAGCCAAACCAAAGGGTCCCATCCTCTCCTTCTGTCTCAGTACAATGCTTGTCCACCTCCACAGTAGGAGGTGGGGTGGTTGATCTCTGTAGTACTATTCCTCTGAGTTTAATTCCTGATTCTTTGCCCTTGATTGTCCCCCTGGGGGTCACTGGCCCTTTACCTCAAGGTTCAGTGGGGCTGGTCTTAGGTGGGGCATCCACGTCTGATAAGGGAATAACCATTCATACTCGTCTCATTAATTCTGATTCTGTTGATGAGATTAAATTAATCGTGTCTGCCAGGGTTCCTGTTTCCATTCTGGCCAGTGAGTCAATTGCTCAATTGCTTTTACTACCTAATATCATTTTAAACAAAGGAGATAAGACACATGGCCCTGGGATGGGCTCCAGCAGTGAAAAGGCCACTTATTGGATTAATGTAATTTCTAAACAATGGCCCACTTGCACCATACACATTCAAGGGAGAAAGTTTGAGGGCCTAGTAGATACTGTTGCTGATGTTTCTGTTATTTCCTCTAGTTTATGGCCTTCCTCTTGGTTTAAACCTCCTGCTAACATGGGGATAGTAGGTGTTGGAAAGGCCAACGAAGTTTATGAGAGCGTATTTATCTTGCCTTGCACTGGCCCTGATGGTCAAAAGTGTACAATTCAGCCCTATATCATGCCAATTCCCATTAATCTTTGGGGTAGAGATTTACTGGCACAATGGGTGGCTGAAGTTAATATTCCACATAACTCTTATAGTGCTCCCAGTCAGCATATGATGGATAATATGGGGTTTGTTCCTGGACTCGGTCTCAGTCCAAAGCATGAAGGGATTACTAAACATCTCCCAGTTCCTATAAAAGAAAACAGGGCTGGTTTAGGTTATCCTTTTTAGTAGCAGCCACTGCCACACCTCCTGATCCTATTCCCTTACAATGGAAATCTGACATGCCTGTCTGGATTCAGCATTGGCCACTTTCTAAAGAAAAACTGGAGGCTTTAAATAAATTGGTTTCTGAGAGGTTACAACTTGGAAATGTGGAACCTTCTCTTTCCCCTTGTAATTCTCCTGTGTTTCTAGTAAAAAAGAAATCAGGCAAATGGTGGATGGTAACCGACTTAAGGGCCAGCAATGCTGTAATTAAACCTATGGGGGCTGTCCAACCTGACATGCCTGCCCCTGCTTTAATACCTAAAAATTGACCTCTCATAGTTATTGATCTTAAAAATTGTTTTTTTATGTTGCTTTACATAAATCGGATTGTGAAAAGTTTGCTTTTACTGTACCATGTATCAATAATCAGGAGCCTGCAGCTCGTTATCAATGGGAAGTACTTCCTCAGGGAATGCTGAATAGCCCTACAATCTGCCAGCTTTATGTTGGACAAGTGCTTTCACCAGTTTGAGCCCAATTTCCCGAGGCCTATATTCTTCATTATATTGATGATATTTTAATTGCTGCCCCCACTGATAAAGAATTAATCGATTGTTACAAAATTTTGAGCCACTGTGTTACAGAGGCTGGAATACACATCGCTCAGGATAAAATTCAACAGACCACTCCTTTTCAATATTTAGGAATGGTGGTTGATAAACAATGTATTCAACCTCAAAAAGTTCAAATTAGGAGATATTCTTTAAAAACTTTAAATGACTTCCAAAAACTTTTGGGTAACATTAATTATCTAAGACCTACTTTAGGCATTCTGACCTATGTGCTGTCTAATTTGTTCTCTATGCTGTGGGGAGATTCCTATCTCCACAGAGCTAGGACTTTGACCCCTGAGGCTTTACTAGAATTGGAATTCGTAGAGGAAAGAATCCAGACTGCCCAGTTATCTAGAGTAGAGCCGTTCCAGTCTTTTCAGCTTCTGGTTTTTGCTTCATTACACTCCCTTACTGGACTAATAGTTCAACATAATGATTTAATGGAGTGGAGTTTTCTTCCTCATTCTATGTCAAAAACTTTGTCTGTTTATCTAAACCAAATAGCCATATTAATTGGACAGACTTGGTGCAGAATACTTCAAATTTCTGGATTTGATCCAAATGTAATTGTAGTTCCTTTAAATCAGCTCGAAGTTCAAGCTGCAATTCAGCATTCTGTACTGTGGGAAATTCACTTGGCTGATTTTATTGGCATTATTGACAATCATTATCCGAAAAACAAATAGTTTGATTTTATAAAAATGACGTCTTGGGTGGTTGCTCGATTAACCAAAGATCAACCCATTCCTGAGGCCATTACAGTGTTCACTAATGGCTCCAGTAATGGCAATGCTGGCTATATAGGTCCTACAGACAAACATTTCTACCTTTTATACTTCTGCTCAAAAGGCAGAGCTAACTGCTGTGATTACTGCCTTACAGGATTTCCCCAAACCTTTAAATATTGTTTCAGATTCCACTTATGTTTTACATGCCACTAAAATTTAAAAACTGCTACTGTCAAACATATTGATAATTCTGATTTGGCTTCTTTATTTTCAGGGTTACAACAGGCGGTTCACCAATGTAGACACCCTTTCTATATTACACATATTAGATCTCATACCACTTTACCAGGACCCATGTCTGCCAGTAACCATAAAGTTGACTGTTTGGTCTCTTTTACAACCCAAGAAGCTCAGGAGTTCCATAATCTCACTCATGTCAATGCTGCTGGATTAAAAGATAAATTTGCTCTTACTTGGAAACAGGCTAAGCTTATTTTTCACAGCTGCCCTCAGGTCCAGTTCTTCGTACTTCCAAATCAGGAACCTGGCGTTAATCCTAGAGGCCTAATTCCTAAAGCTTTATGTCAAATGGATGTGAGTCATGTTAGCTCCTTTGGCAGACTGTCATATGTGAATGTCTCTGTAGATACCTTCTCAGGTTTTATCTGGGCTACTTGCCAAACAGGGTAAGGCACGACCCATGTTAAGAAACATCTGTATTCTTGCTTTGCAGTTATGGGGCTTCCATATCGAATAAAAACAGACAATGCCCCTGGATATGTTAATAAGGCTTTTGATTCATTTATGAAACAGTGGGGAATTTCCCATATTACTGGAATCACTTACAATCCTCAGGGACAGGCTGTGGTGGAAAGGGCCAATCACACTTTAAAAACCCAATTGTCCAAACAGTCTGAACAACCAAAACATGATTTAACTACTCCCCACTCCCAATTACATTTGGCATTGTTTACTTTAAATTTTTTAAATGTTTCTAAAGATAATACTCTAACTGCAGCCGAATGCCATTATACACGCAAAAAAAATCCTTAAACGAAGGCAAGCCAGTGTTATGGAAAAACTCCTAAACCAATTCCTAGGAACCTGGCACAATTATAACGTGGGGAAGAGGATATGCTTGTGTTTCACCAGGAGATCTTCAATCCCCTGTCTGGGTACCCACCAGAAGACTCAAGCTTCGGGTGAATACTGACAATGAAAACCACAGAGAAAATAGGTCTGTGTCAGAGACTGCCCTCAGACGTGTTGAGATCTGTGCTGACTCCTAAGAAACAGGCACACCAAATCACAATGGGTGTAAATCAGTCCTCCCTGATGGCAATGGAGACCCATCTAACCAATCCCACTTCTCCTCATTACCTTTCTTTTTCTCCTTACAAACCTAAAAGTCTCACCTTTTCTACTAGCCTGAAAATAACATCCCTCTGTTCTTCTCTTCCTCCTTCAGCACTCAATCGTTCTTACACTAGTGTTTACTTAATAATTCTCCACCTTATACTTTCTGTCTCACCAGTTTCCTCTCACACTAATTTACCTGCTACACATAATTATTCTTATTGGGCTTATGTGTCTTTTCCTCCACTTATTCCGACTTCTCATCTGGGTAGATACTCCTGCAGAAATCTACACTAATGATAGTGTGTGGATGCCTGGAGCCAGAGATGACCATTGCCCTGCTCAACCAGGAGAAGAAGGCACTGCATTTAATGTTACCATGGGCTATAAATACCACCTTCTGTGCTTCAGACATGCATCTGGTTGCATACATCTAGAAACTCAGGTCTGGGCTGCTTATCTTCCGGAAAGATCAGCTACAGATAAAACGGGACATATGGTCTCTGGCCTCTCCCTTTCTCCTTTAAAACAAACGAAAGGAGGAGTAATGGGAGATACCCCATACTTTCAATATAAACCTGCAGGAAAACCGTGCCCTAAAAATTTTGAGGGCCCATCTAAAACTTTAATTTGGGGAGATTGTCTTAACTCACATGCAGTAATATTAAAAAATGACTCATATGGTTTAGTAATAGACTGGGCACCAAAAGCCTATTTAAAAAACAATTTCTCCTCTGGCAGAAGGGAATACCTGGAGGCTACTTATTTTATTTCTTATCAGGAGAACAAGAATCATCATTCTACTTTGCATAGGAGGTTTGGCTTATTCTTTCCCTTAAAATGGGAAGATAAAGGCATTACCCGCCCCCCTCAGTCCTCGTATGATACTCCCCATTCTGAGCCCGGAACTCCCAGAACTTTGGAAATTGGCTATTGCCATGTCTGGACTGCGAATATGGGAAGGAAAAACTATTCTGACTGTTATTCCCACTACCGTCCCACTCTCTTAGTATCAACGTAGAACCAGACATTCTGCTTTACTTGCCCAGACCTTGGGAATCCTCCCCCTCAATACATTTAATTAATGAAGTGCTACAGTGAATTCTAAAAAGATCTAAGAGATTTGTTCTCACTTTAATTGCTGTTATCATGGGCCTAATTACAGTCACATTAATGGCCACCACTGCCAGAATGGCATTACACCAGTCCATTCAAACGGCTCGTTTTGTTAACGATTGGGAAGCCAATTCCACCCAAATGTGGAATGCTCAACAAGGTATTGATCAAAAATTGGCAAATCAAATTAATGACTTAAGACAGTCTGTTATTTGGCTTGGAGATTGGGTAGTGAGCCTCGAGCATCACATGGAAATGCAGTGCGATTGGAATACTTTGGATTTCTGCATCACCCCTATTCCTATAATGAGACTGATCATTCATGGGAAATGGTCAAAGGATACCTTCTAGTTAGGGAAGATAATTTATCATTGGACATAACTAAATTAAAGAAACAAATTTTTGAAACCTCTCAAGCTCACTTATCCCTTGTGCCTGGAGCTGAGGCATTAGATCAGGTGGCAGAAAATCTTTATGGATTAAACCCCACGACTTGGATTAAGTCTACTGAGGCTCCACTGTAGTTAATTTTGGAATTATGTTTCTCTGTTTAATCGGCTTGTTTTTAGTGTGCCGGATCAGTCAAGAATCCTACATCAAAATTGAGAGAATGAACAAGCCTTCATTGCCATGGCACATTCATATAAAAAGAAAAGGAGAGATGTTGTGGGAAGTCAGGGACCCCAAAAGGAGGGACCAGCTGAAACCATAGCAGAAGAATGTGGATTGTGAAGAATTCATGGACATTTATTAGTTCCCAAAATTAATACTTTTATAATTTCTTATTCCTGTATTTACTGCAATCTCTAAACATAAATTGTGAAGATTTCATGGACACTTATCACTTCCCCAATAAACATCATTGTGATTTCCTATGCCTGTCTTTACTTTAATCTCTTAATCCTGTCAGATGAGGAAGATGTATGTCTCCTCAGGACCATGTGATAATTGTGTTAACTACACAAATTGTAGAGCATGTGTGTTTAAACAATATGAAATCTGGGCACCTTCAAAAAAAGAACAGGCTAACAGCAATGCTTGGGAAACAAGAGAGATAACCTTAAACTCTGACTGCCAGTGAGCTGGGCGGAACAGAGCCATATTTCTCTTCTTTCAAAAGCAAATGGGAGAAATAACACTGAATTCTTTTTCTCAGCAAGGAACATCCCTGAGAAAGAGAATGCACACCTGGGGGTGGGTCTCTGAACTGGCCCCCTGGGAGTGGCTGTCTTTTGTGGTCTGTACACTGTAGGGGTGAAATAGAACCCAGTCTCCCGTAGCACTCCCAGGCTTATTAGGAAGAGGAAATTCCCACCTAATAAATTTTGGTCAGACCAGTTGCTCTCAAAGCCCTGTCTCCTTATAAGATATTATCAATGACAATGGTGCCCAAAACTTGATTAACAATTTTAATTTCACCCTGGTCCTGTGGCCCTGAGATCTCACCCTGCCTCCACTTGCCTTGTGATATTTTATTACCTTGGGAAGAGCTTGATATCTGTGACTCACACTTATTTGTACACTCCCTCCCGTTTTGAAACTCCATAATAAAATCTTGCTTGTTTTGTGGCTTGGGGGGCATCACGGAACCTACCGACATGTGATGTCGCCCCTGGCCTCCAGCTTTAAAATTTCTCTCTTTTGTGCCCTGTCCCTTTATTTCTCAAACCAGCAAATGCTTAGGGAAGATAGAAAAGAACCTACGTGACTATCAGGGCATGTTCCCCGATAGTTTCTCAGAAAGCTTCTTTCTAGTTTTGTTCTGAAGATGTTTCTTTTTCACCATAGGCCTAAATGCTCTCCTAAATATCCCTTTGGAAATTCTACTTTAACAGTGTTTCCAATCTGCTGAATGAAAAGAAAGTTTTAAATATGCGAGATGAATGCACATATCACACAGTTGTTTCTCAGATAACTTCCATCTAGTTTTTATCATGGGATATTCGTTTTTTTGCTATTGGCCTCAATGAGCTCACAAATGTCCATTCGCAGAATGTACAAAAACAGTGTTTCCAAACTGCTGAATGAAAAGAAAGGTTGAACTATATGAGATGAATACACACATCACAAAAACGTTTCGGATATCGCTTCCTTCTAGTGTTTATCCTGGGATATTCACTTTTTCACTATTTGCCTTTCAATGAGCTCCCAGATGTCCATTCACAAAAAGGACAAAAGCAGTATTTCCTAACTGCTGAATGAACAGACAGGTTTAACTCTGTGAGATTAATGCACACATCACAAAGCAGTTTCTCACAAAGCTTCTTTCTAGTTTGTATCTGAAGATTATTTTTCCCTATAGGCCACAATGTTCTCCCAAATATCCTTTCACAGATTCTACAAAAGTAGTGTTACCAAACTGCTGAATGAAAAGAATGCTTTAACTCTGTGAGATGAATGCACACAACACAAAGTGGTTTACCAGATAGCTTTCTTCTTGTTTTTATCCTGGGATATTTGCTTTTTTGCCTTTGACCTCAATGAGCTCAAAAATGTCCATTCACAGAATGGACAAAAACAATGTTTCTAAACTGCTGAATCAAAAGAATGGTTTCACTCTATGAGATGAATGCACATATCACAAAAGGGTTTCTCAGAAAGCTTCTTTCTACTTTTTATCTGAAGGTATCTTCTTTTTTCCATAGGCCTCAATGTGCTTCCAAATATCCCTTCGCAGATACTATAAAAACTGTGTTTCCAAACTATTGAATGAAAAGAAAGTTTTAACTCCATGAGATGAATGTGCACATCACAAAGTGGTTTCTCAGATAACTTTCTTCTAGTTTTTATCCTGGGATATTCACTTTTTTGTCATTGGCCTCAGTGAGCTCCGAAATGTCCAAACAGTGTTTCCAAACTGCTGAATCAAAAGAAAGGTTTATCTCTGTGTGATGTATGCACGGATCACAAAGTGGAATTTCAGAAAGCTTCTTTCTAGTTTTTATCTGAAGACAATTTCTTTTTCACCATAAGCCTCAAAGCACTCCAAAATATCCCTTTGCAGGTTCTACAAAATCAGTTTTTCCATAGTGCTGAATCAATAGAAAAATTTAACTCTGTGAGATGAATACACATATCACAAACAATTTCTCAGAATGTTTCTTTCTTATTTTTATCTTAAGATGTTTAGTTTTTCATCATAGGCCTCATTCCCAAATACCCCTTCAGAGATTCTACAAAGACAGTGTTTTCAAACTGTTGAATGAAAAGAAAATTTTACCTCTGTGAGAAGAATGCACACTTCACAAATGATTTATCAGATAACTTCCTTCTAGTTTTTATCCTGGGATGTTCACTTTTTCACCATTGGCCTCAAAGATCTCTGAAATGTCAACTCGTAGAATGGACAAAAACACTGTTTCCAAACTGCTGAGACAAAAGAAAGGTTGAACTCTGTGGGATGAATGCACACAACACGAACTGGCTTCTCAGAAAGCTGCTCTCTAGTTTTAATCTGAAGATATTTTGTTTTTCACCATAAGCCTCAATGTGGTCCCAAATATCCCTTCACAGATTCTACAAAAACACAGTTTCCAAACTGCTGAATGAAAAGAAAGATTTAACTCTGGGAGATGAATGCACACATCACAAAGCGGTTTCTGATGTAGCTTCCTTCTAGTTTCATCTATATATTTTTTTCACCATAGGCCTCAATTTGCTCCCAAATATCCTTTCGTAGATTCTATAAAAACTGTGATTCCAAGCTGCTGAATGAAAAGAAAGGTTTAACTCTGTGAGATAAATGCACATTTCACAAAGAGGTTTCTCACATAGCTCTTTCAAAACAGCTGAATGAAAAGAAAGGTTTCACTCCTTGAAATTAATGCACACATCACTAAGCGGTTACTCAAGTAAATTCCTTCAAGTTTTTATCCTGGGATATTGGCTATGTCGCCATTGCCCTCAATGAGCTCCAAAATGTCCATTTGCAGAATGGAGAAAAACAATTTTTCCAAACTGCTGAATGAAAAGAAATGTTTCACTCTGCAAAATGAATGCTCACATCACAAAGCAATTTCCCTGTTAGCTTCCTTCTAGTTTTTATCCTGGGATATTCTCTTATTCACCATTGGCCTCAAAGAGCTCCCAGTTGTCCATTCGCAGAATGGACAAAAAGAGTGCCTCCAAACTACTGAATCAAAAGAAAGGATTAGCTCTGTGAGATAAATTCACACATCAAAAAGCAGTTTCTCAGAAAGCTTCTTTCTGATTTTTATCTGAAGATATTTCTTTTTCACCATAGTCCTCAATGGGGACAGAAATATCCCTTAGCAGATTCTGCAATGTAGTGTTTCCAAATTGCTGAATGAAAAGGAAGGTTTAACTCTGTGAGATGAATGTACACGTCACAATGTGGTTTCTCAGATAGCTACCTTCTAGTTTTTATCCTGGCATATTTGCTCTTTTGCCATTGGCCTCAATGATCTGCCAAATGTCCATTTTCAGAATATACAAAAACAGTGTTAACAAACTGCTGAATCAAAGGAAATATTTAACTCTGTGAGATGAATGTTCACATAAAAAAGCAGTTTCTCAGAAATCTTCCTAGTTTTTATCTGAAGATTTTTTTTTCTCCATAGGACCCAATGCGCTCCCAAATATCCTTTGAGATACTACAAAAACAGTGATTTCAAACTGCTGAATATAAAGAAACATTTAACTCTGCGAGATGAATGCACACATCACAAAGAAGTTTCTCAGATAGCTTCCTTCTAGTTTCTATCTTGGGATATTCACTTTTCTGCCATTGGCCTCAATGACCTCCAAAATGTTCATTCACAGAATAGACAAAAACAATGTTTCCAAAGTGCTGAATCAAAGGAAAGTTTATCTCAGTGAGATGAATGCACACATCACAAAGCAGTATGTCACAAAACTTCTTTCTAGTTTTTATCTGAAGATATTCTCTATTTCACCATAGGCCTAAAAGCACTCCCAAACATCCCTTCTCAGATTCTGCAAAAACGGTGTTTCCAAACTGCAGAATCAAAAGAAAGGTTTAACTCTGTGAGATGAATGTACACGTGACAAAGCAATTTCTCACAAATCTTTCTACTTTTTATCTGATGTTATTTACTTTTTCACTATAGGCCAAAATATGCTGCCAAATATCCCTTGGCAGATTCTACAAAAACAGTGTTTCCAAACTGCTGAATGAAAGGATGGTTTAACTCTGCAAGACGAATGTGCACATCACAAAGTGGATTCTGAGATAGCTTCCTTCCAGTTTTTATCCTGGGATATTCGCTTTTATGCCATTTGCCTCATTAACCTCTGAAATATCCCTTCAAAGATTGTACAAAAACAGTGTTTCCAAACAGGTTTCACTCTGTGAGGTGAAAGCACACATTACAAAGTGGTTTCTCAGATAGCTTCGTCCTGTTTTTTTTCCGAGAATATTTGCTTTTTCTTCATTGGCCTCAATCAGCTCCCAAATATCCCTGTGCAGATTCTACAAAACTGTCTTTTCAAATTGCTTAATGAAAAAAGCACTTTATCTCTGAGATGAATGTACACATCACAAAGTAATTTATCTGAAAGCTTCTTTCTAGTTTTTATGTGAAGACATTTTATTCTTCACCATAGGCCTCATTGCTCTCCAAAATATCCCTTCAAAAATTCTTCAAAAACAGTGTTTCCAAACTGCTGAATGAAAAGAAAGTATTAACTCAACGAGATGAATACTCACACCACAAAGCGGTTTCCCCAGATAGCTTCCTTCTAGTTTTTTTCCTGGGATATTCGCCTTTTCACTGTTGGCTTCAATGAGCTCCCAAATATCCCTTCACAAATACTACAAATAAAGTGTCTCCAAATTGCTGAATGAAAAGAACTGTTTAACTATGTGAATTGAATGCACACATCACAATGTGGTTTCTCAGATAGCATCCTTGTGATTTTTATCTGTAGATATTTTGTATTTCACCACAGGACTCAATGCACTCCCAAATATCCCTTCTGAGATTGTACAAACACAGTGTTTCCAAACCTCTAAATGAAAGACAAGTTTCAAATCTGCAAAATGAATGCACACATCCAAAGAAGTTAACCAGATAACTTCCTTTTAGATTTAATCAAGCGATACTTGCTTTTTTGCAATTGGCCTCAATGAGATCACAAATGTCAATTCAAAGAATGGACAAAAACAGTGTTTCCAGACTGCTGAAACAAAAGAAAGGTTGAACTCTGTGAGGTGAATGTACACATCACAAACCAGTTTCTCAGAAAGCTTCTTCCTATTTTTAATCTGAATATATTTTGTTTTTCACCATAGGCCTCAGTGTGCTCCCAAATATCCCTTCGCAGATTCTACAAAAACAGTGCTACCAAACTCCTAATGAAAAAGAAGGTTTAACTCCGTGAGCCAAGTGCACACATCACAAAGAAGTTTCTCAGATAGCTTCCTTCTAGATTTTTACCTGGGATATTCCGTTTTTTGCCATTGGTCAAAATGAGCTCCCAAATGTCCATTCGCAGATTCTACAAAGACGTGTTTCCGAACTGCTGAATGAAAAGAAAGGCTTAACTCTGGGAGTAGAATGCACACATTACAAAGTGGTTTCTGATATAGTTTCCTTCTACTTTTTATCCACATTTTCGTTTTCACCATAGGCCTCAATTCACTCCCAAATATCCCTTCACAGATTCTACAAAAACTGTGTTTCCAAACTGCTGAATGAAACGAAAGGTTTAACTCTGCGAGATCAATGCACATATCAAAAAGTGGTTTCTCAGATAGCTGTTTCAAAACAGCTGGATGAAAAGAAAGATTTCACTCTTTGAAATGAATGCACACATCACAAAGTAGCTTCTCAGGTAAATTCCTTCAAGTTTTTATTCGGGATATTGGCTTTGTCGCCATTGCCCTCAATGAGCTCCAAAATTGCTCTTCACAGAATGGACAAAAACAGTTTTTCCAAACTGCTGAATGAAAAGAAAGGTTTCACTCAGCGCAATGAATACTCACATCACAACGGGTTTCTCTGATTGCTTCATTTTGTCTTTTATCCTGTGGTACTCACTTATTCGCCATTTCCTCAATGAGCTCCCAGGTGTCCATTCACAGAATGGATAAAAAGAGTGCCTCCAAACTACTGAATAAAAAGAAAGGATTAACTCAGTGAGATGAGTGCACATATCACAAAACTCTGTCTCAGAAATCTTCTTTCTAGTTTTTATCCGAAGATGATTTCTTTTTCAACATAGGGATAAATGCTCTCCAGAATACCCCTTCACAGATTCTAAAAAAACAGTGTTTCCAAACTACTAAATGAAAAGAAAAGTTTAACTCTGTGAGATGAATGCAAACATCTCAAATCTGTTTCACAGATAGCTGCCTTCTAGTTTTATCCTGGGATATTAACTTTTTTGACTTTGGCCTCAATGAGCTCACAAATGTCCATTCACAGAATGAACATGCTGAATCAAAAAAAAGTTTTAACTCTGTGAGACGAAAGCATACACTACAAACTAGTTTCTCAGAAGCTTCTTTGTAGTTTTTATCTGAAGATATTTCCTTTTTCAACATAGACCTCCCTGTGCTCCCCATTATTCTTTTGAATTCTACAAAAACAATGTTTCCAAACTACAGAATAAAAAGTGCAGTTTAACTTGGTGGGATGAATGCGCACATCACAAAGCAGTTTCTCAGAGAGCTTCCTTCTAGTTTTTTCCTGGGATATTCGCTTTCTCACCATTGGGCTCATTGAGTTCCCAAATGTCCACTCACAGAATGGACAAAAACAATGTTTCCAAACTGTTCAATCAAAAGAAAGTTTAACTGTGTGAGATGGATGCACACATCACAAGGCAGTTTTCAGAAAGCATCTTAATAGTTTTTATCTGAAGATAATTTCTTTTGCAAAATAGGCCTCAAATTGCTTACAAATATCCCTTCAGATTCTGCAAAATCAGTTTCCAAATCGCTGAATGAAAAGAAAATTTTAATCCTGTGAGATGAATGCACACATCAAAAAGCATTTCCTCAGATTGAATCCTTCTATTTTTAACCTGGGATATTCTCGTTTTCACCATTGGTCCCAATGGGATCCCAAATGTCCATTAGCATAATGGATAAAAAGAGTGTTTCAAATGGCTGAATCAAAAGAAAGGTTTAACTCTCTGAGATGAATGCACACATCACAAAGTAGTTTCTCAGAAAGCTTCTTTCTAGTTTTTATCTGAAGATATTTTCCTTTTCACCATATGCCTCAATGCACTCCCAAATATCAATTCGCAGATTTTACAAAATCAGTGTCTCCAAACTGCTGAATCAAATCAAAAGTTTAACTCTATGAGATGAATGCACACATCACAAAGCAGTTTCTTATAAAGATTCTTTCTGGTTATTATCCGAAGATATGTTATTTTTCAACATAGTCCTCGATGCACTCCCAAATATCATTTTGCAGTTTCTACAAAAACGGTGTTTCCACACTGCTGAATGAAAAGAAAATTTTAAGTCTGTGAGACAGATGCACATATCACAAAGCAGTTTCTCAGATAGTTTCCTTCTAGATTTTATCTTCAGATAGTTGCTTTTTCACCACTGGCCTCAATGAGCTCCCAAATGTCCATTTGGAGAATGGATAAAAACAGTGTTTCCAAACTGCTGAATCAAAATAAATGTTGAACTCTGTGAGAGGAATGCACAAACCTAATAGCAGTTTCTCAGAAATCTTCCTTCTAGTTTTTATCTAAAAATATTTTGTTTTTCACAGTAAGCCTCAGTGCGCTCCCAAATATATATTTGCACTTTGTACAGAAGCAGTGTTTCCAAACTGCTGAATGAGAAGAATGTTTTAACTCTGTGAGATGAATGTGCACATTACAATGCGGTTTCTCAGATACCTTCCTTCTAGTTTTTATGCTGGAATATTGGTGTTTTTGCCTTGACCTCAACGTTCTCACAAATTTCCATTTGCAGAATGGACAAAAACAGTGTTTCCAAACTGATGAATCAAAAGAAATGTTGAAATCTGTGAGATGAATACACATATCACAAAAAAGTTTCTCAGATAGCATCTTTCCAGTTTTTATCTGAAGTTATTTTCTTTTTCTCCATTGGCCTCAATGTGCTCCCAAATATCTCTTCAAAGATTGTACAAAAACAGTGTTTCCAAGCTGTTGAAGGAAAAGAAAATTTTAACTTTGTGAGATGGATGCACACATCACAAAGGAGTTTCTCAGATAACTTCCTTCTAGTTTTTATCCTGGGATATTCAATTTATTGCCATTGCTCTCAATGAGCTCCAAAATGATCATTTGCAGAATGAGGAAAAACAGAATTTCCAAACTGCTGAATGAAAAGAAAGTTTTAACTCTGTGAGATGAATGCACACATCACAAAGTAATTTCTCAGAAAGATTATAGTTTTTATCTGAAGACAATTTCTTTTTCACAGTAGACCTCAAAACTCTCCAAAATATCCCTTCATAGATTCTACAAAACCAGTTTTTCCAAACTGATGAATCAATAGGAAGTTTTAACTCTGTGAGATGAACGCACAGATAACAAAGCAATTTATCAGAAAGCTTCTTTCTTTTTTTTTCTAAAGATATTTGGTTTTTCATCATCAGTCTCAATATGCTCCCAAATATGTTTCACAGATTCTACAAAGACAGTGTTTCCAAACTGGTGAATGAAAAGAAAGTATTATTACCTCTTTGAGATAAATGCACACATCACAAGCTGTTTTTCAGATAACTTCCTTCTAGTTTTTATAATGGGATATTCACTTTTTCATCATTGGCCTCAATGAAATCCCAAATGTCCATCCACAGAATGCACAAAAACAGTGTTTCCAAACTGCCTAATCAAATGAAATGTTTAACTCTGTGAGATAAATGCACACATTAGAAAGTGGTTTCTCAGTAATCTTCTTTTTAGTTTTTATCTGAAGATATTTCTTTATTACCACAGGCCTCAATGCACTCCGAAATATAGCTTTGCCGATTGTACAAAGACAGTGTTTCCGAAAAGCTGAATGAAAATAAATGTCTCACTCTGGAAAATGAATGCACACATCACAAAGTGATTTCCCAGATATCTTCCTTCTTGTTTTTACCCTGGGATATTTGCTTATTCACCATTGGCCTCAATGAGCCCCCAAATGTCCATTCACAGAACTGTGTTTCCAAACTGCTGAATAAAAACAATGTTTAACTCTGTGAGATGAATGCACACATCACAAAGCCGTTTCTTAGAAAGTTTCTTTCTAATTTTTATCTGAAGATATTTTCTTTATCAAAATAGACCTTAATGCTCTCCCAAATATCCCTTCAGAGATTCTACAGAAACAGTGTTTCCAAACTGCTGAATGAAAGGAAAGTTTTAACTCTGCAAGTTGAATGTACACATCACAAATCTGACTCTCAGATAGCTTCCTTCTAATTTTTATCCTAGGATATTCACTTTTTCATTTTTGGCCACAATGAGTTCTCAAATGTCTGTTCACAGAATGGAGAAAAACAGGGTTTCCAAACTGCTGAATCAAAAGAAAAGTTTAACTTTGTGAGATGAATGCACACTTCACGAAGCAGTTTCTCATAAAGTTTCCTTCTAGTTTTTATCTGAAGATGTTTCCTTTTTCACCGTTGATGTCAATGAACTCACGAATATCCCTTCATAGATCCTAGAAATACAGTGTTTCCAAACTGATGAACGAAAAGAAATGTTTAACTCTGCAGGATGGATGCACACAGCACAAAGTGGTTTATCAGGTAGCTTCCTTCTAGTTTTTATTGTGGGATATTCATTTTTTCACCATTGACCTCCAAGCACTCCCAAATATCTCTTCGAAGATTCCACAAACACAGTGTTTCCAAACTGCTGAATTTAAAACAATATTTAACTCTGAGAGATGAATCCACACATCACAAAGTGGTTTCTCTAATAGCTTCCTTCTACTTCTTATCCTGGGATATTCACTTTTTCACCATTGGCCTTGATGAGCTCCCAGATGTCCATTCACAGAAAGGTCAAAAACAATGTTTCCAAATTGCTGAATCCAAAGAAAGGTTTAACTCTGTGACATAAACGCAGATATCACAAAGCACATTCGCAGAAAGTTTCTTTCTATTTTTTATCTGAATGGGATTCCTTTTTCACCATGGGCCTGAATGCATTCCCAAATATGCCTTCACAGATTCTACAAAAACAGTGTTTCCAAACTACTGAATGAAAAGAAAGGTTTAACTCTGCGAGGTGAAAGCACACATCACAAATTGGTTTCTCAGAGAGCTTCCTTCTAGTTTTTATGCTGGAATACTCCCTTCTTTGCCATTTGCCTCAATGAGCTCCTAAATGTCCATTCACAGAATGCACAAAAACAGTGTTTCCACCTGCTGAACCCAAGAAAAGGTTTATCTCTGTGAGGTGAATGCAAACATCACTAAGCAGTTTCTCAGAAAGCTTCTTTCTAGTTTTTATCTGAAGATGTTTCCTTTTTCACCATAGTCCTCAATTCTCTCCCAAATAACAAATGGCAGATCTGACAAAAACTGTTTTTCAAAACTCCTGAGTGAAAAAAAAGTTTTACTCTGCTAGATGAATGCACACATCACAAGGCAGTTTCTCAGAGAATTTCTTCCTTGTTTTATGCTGGGATATTCGGTTTTTCACCATTGACCTCAATGTGCTCCCAAATGTCCATTCGCAGAATGGACAAAAACAGTGTTTCCAAACTGCTGAATGTAAAGAAAATTTTAATCCTGTGAGATGAATGCACAGATCACAAATCAGTTTCTCAGAAAGCTTTCTTCTAGTTTTTAGCCTGGGATATTCACTTCTTTGCCATTGGCCTAGAAGGGCTGCCAAATATCCATTCACAGAATGGACAAAAATAGTGTTCCCTAAGTGCTGAATAAAAAGTAAGGTTTAACACTTTGAGATGAATGCACACATCACAAGCAGTTTCTCAGAAACTTCTTTGTAGTTTTTATCTGAATTGTTTCCATTTTGACCATAGGCCCCAATGTGCTCTCAAATATCCCTTCACAGATTCTACAAAAGCAGTGTTTTCAACCTGCTGAATGAAAAGAAAGTTTTAGCTCTATGCAATGAATGCACACCTCACAAAGTGGTTTCTCAGTGGTTTCTTCTAGTTTTTATCCTGGCTTATTCACTTTTTTGCCATTGGCCTCAATGAGCTTCCAAATGTCCATTTGCAGAATGGACATTCTGCAGTTTCCAAACTGCTGTATTAAAAGAAGGGTTTAACTCTGCAAGATGAATACACACATCATAAATGGTTTCTCAGATAGCTTCCTTCTAGTTGTAAACCTGGGAAATTTACATTTTCACCATTGGCCTCAATGCTCTCCCAAATGTCCATTTGCTGAATTAACAAAAACAGTGTTTCCAACATGCTGAATAAAAAGAAAGGTTTAACTCTGTGATTTGAATGCACACATCACAACAGTTTCTCAGAAAGTTTATTTCTAGTTTTTATCTGAAGTTGTTTCATTTTTCACCACAGGCCTCAATGTGCTCCCAAGTATCCCCTTGCAGATTCTACAAAAACAGTGTTTCCAAACTGCTGAATGAAAAGAAAGTTTTACATCTGTGAGATGAATACACACATCACCTAGCAGTTTCTAAGATACCTTCCTTCAATTTATTATGCTGAGATATTCACTTTTTCACCTTTAGCCTGAATGAGCTCCCAAATGGCAATTCGCAGAATGGACAAAAACTGTTTCCAAACTGCTGAATCCAAAGAAAGTTTTAACTCTGGGAGATGAATGCACATATCACAAAGCAGCTCCTAAGAAATCTTCTTCCTAGTTTTTACACTGGGATAATCCTTTTTTGCCAATGGCCTGAAAAAGCTCCCAAATATCCACTCATAGAATGGACAAAAACAGTGTTTCCAAATTGCTGAAACAAAAGAAAGTTTAAACACTGTGAGATGAATGCATACATCACAAAGCAGTTTCTCAGAAAGATTCTTGTTTTTTTCTGAAGATATTCCCTTTTCTGAAGATATTTCCCTTTCCACCATAGGCCTCAATGTGCTCCCAAATATCCTTTTACAGCTTCTACAAAAACAGTTTTTACAAACTGCCGAATGAAAGGAAATGTTTAACTCAGTGAGATGAATGCACACGTCACAAAGCGGTTTCTATGATAGCTTCCTTCTTGTTTTTATCTTGGGATATTCTCTCTTTCACCATTGGCCTCAATGAGCTCAAAAATTTCCATTTGCAGAGTGGACAAAAAGACTGTTTCCAAACTGCTTAATCCAAAGGAAGATTTAACTCTTTGAGATGAATGCACACATTACAAAGCAGTTTCTCAGAAAGCTTATTTCTTGTCTTTATCTGAAGATGTTTCCTTTTTCACCATAGGCCTTATTGTGCTTCAAAATATCCCTTCACAGATTCTAAAAAAACAGTGTTTCCAGACTGCTGAAAGAAAAGCATGTTTTATCTTTGTGAGGTGAATGCACACATCACAAAGTGGTTTCTCAGAGAGCTTCCTTCTAATTTTTATCTTGTGATATTCGCTTTTTCACCATTGGCCTCAATGAGCTCTCAAATATCCATTGGCAGAATGGAAAAAAACGATGTTTCCAAAGTGCTGAATCCAAATAAAGTTTTAACTCTGTGAGATGAAAGTGCACATCAAAATTCAGTTTATTAGAAAGCTTATTTCTGTTTTTATCTGAAGAAGTTTCCTTTTTCACCATAGGCCTCCATGCGCTCCCAAATATCCCTTCAAGGATTCAAGAAAAACAGGTTTTCCAAACTGCTGAGAGGAAAGAAATGATTAAATCTGTGAGATGAATGCACACATCACAAAGCAGTTTCTCACCAAGCTTCTTTCTAGTTTTTATCTGCAGATGTCTCCTTTTTCACTGGTTGCATCAATGTTAAAGTCTGTAAGATGAATGCACACGTGACAACGGGGTTTCTCTGGTAGCTTCCTTCTAGTTTGTTTCCTGGGATATTCACTTTTTCTCCATTGACCTCGACATACTCTCAAATGTCCATTCACAGAGTCGACAAAAACAGTGTTTCCAAATTGCTGAATCAAAAGAAAGGTTTAAATCTGTGAGATGAATGCACAAATCACAAAGTAGTTTCTCTGAAAGTTTCTTTCAAGTTTTTATCTTTATTTATTTCCTTTTTCACCATAGGCCTCAATGGTCTCCCAAATACCCCTTTGCAGATTTTACAAAAACAGTGTTTCCAAACTGCTGAAAGAAAAGCAAATTTTAACTCTATGAGATGAATGCACACATCACAAAGCAGTTTCTCACAATGCTTCATTCTTGATTTTATCTGAATATGTTTCCTTTTTCACCATAGGCCTCAATGGTCTCCCAAATATCCCTTTGCATAATTTACAAAAACAGTGTTTCCAAACTGCTGAAAGAAAAGCAAATTTTAACTCTGTGAGATGAATGCGCACATCACAAAGTAGTTTCTTACAATGCTTCATTCTTGTTTTTATCTGAAGATGTTTCCTTTTTCACCACAGGCCTCCATGCACTCCAATATCCCTTTGCAGTTTCTACGAAAACAGTGTTTCCAAAATGCTGCATGAAAAGAAAGGATTAAATCTGTGAGATGAAAGCAGACATCACAAAGCAGTTTCTCAGACAGCTTCCTTCTAGTTTTTATATGGGTTATTCACTTTTTCACCACTGGTCTCAATGACCTCCAATATGTCCATTCACAGAAAGGACAAAAAGAGTGTTTCCAAACTGCTGAATCCAAACAATAGTTTAATTCAGGTAGATAAATGCACACATCACAAAGCAGTTTCTGGGAAAGCTTCTTTCTAGTTTTTATCTGAAGATATTTTGTTTTTCACCACAGACCTCAATGTGCTCTCAAATACCCCTAAGCAGAATATACAAAAACAGTGTTTCTAAACGGCTGAATGGAAAGAAATGTTTAACTATACGAGATGAATTCACACATCACAAAGCATTTTCTTAGATAACTTCCTACTATTTTTTATGCTGCAATATTCTGTTTTTTGCCATTGGCTTCAATGAGCGCCCAAATGTCAATTCACAGAATGGACAAAACCAGTACTTCTAAACTGCTGAATAAAAAGGGTTTTAATTCTGTGAGATGAATGAACATATCATGAAAGAGTTTCTCAGAAAGTTTCTTTCTAGTTTTTATCTGCAGATATTTTCTTTTTCACCACAGGCCTCAATGCCCTCCAAAATATCCTATCGTAGATTCTACAAAAACAGTATTTCCAAACTGATGAAGGAAAAGAAAGGTTTAACACTGCGAGATGAATGCACATGTTACAAAGTGGTTTCTCATATAACTTTGCGCAAGATTTTATCGTCAGATATTTGCTTTTTCACCATTGGCCTCAATGAGATCCGAAATGCCCATTCGCAGAATGGACAAAAACAGTGTTTCTAAACTGCTGTATCAAAAGAAACTTTGAACTCTGTGAGATCAATGAACACATCTCACAGCAGTTTCTCAGAAAGCTTCTTTCTAGTTTTTATCTGAAGATATTTTGTTTTCCTCTGTAGGGCTCTTTTCACTCCCAAATATACCCTTGCAGTTTCTACAAAAACAGTGTTTTGAACATGCTGAATTCAAAGAAAGGATTAACATCAAAAAGTGGTTTCTTAGATTGCTTCCCTCTAGATTTTATCTTGGGATATTCGCTTTTTCTCCGTAGGCCTCAATGAGCTCCCAAAAGCCCATTTGCAGAATGGACAAAAGCCATGTTTCCAAACTGCTGAATGAAACGAAAGGTTTAACTCTGAGATTAATGCACACATCACAAAACCATTTCTCATAAAGCTTCTTTCTAGTTTACATCTGAAGATGTTTTCTTTTTCACCATAGGCCTAAATGCACTCCCCAATATCCCTTTACAGATTCTAGAAAAAGCAGTGTTTCTAAACTGCTGAATCAAAATAAAGGTTTAACTCTGAGATGAATGCACACATTACAAAGCAGCTTCACAGAAAGCTTCTTTCTAATTTTTATCTGCAAATATTTTCTTTTTCATTATTGGCCTCAGTATGCTCCCACATACTCCTTCACATATTCTAGAAAGACAGTGTTTCCAAACTGCTGAATCAAAAGAAATATAGACCTCTGTGAGATGAAAGCACACATCACAAAACAGTTTCTCAGTTTGCTTCGTTTCACTTTTTATCCTGGGATATTCCCTTTTTGCCATTGGCCTAAATGAGCTCCCAAATATCCATTCACAGAATGGACCAAAACAGTGTTTCCAAACTACTGAATGAAAAGAAAGATTTAACTATGTGAGATTAATGCACACAACACAAAGCAGCTTCACAGAAAGCTTCTTTCTAATTTTTATCTGAAGATATTTTCTTTTTCATCATAGGCCTCAATGTGCTCCCAAATATTCCTTCACATATTCCAGAAAGACAGTGTTTCCAAACTGCTGGATCAAAAGAAATGTAGACCTCTGCAAGATAAATGCATGCATCACAAGACAGTTTCTCAGTTAGCTTCCTTTCATTTTTTTTCTTGGGATATTCCCTTTTCATCATTGGCCTAAATGAGCTCCCAAATGTCCATTCACAGAATGGACCAAAACAGTGTTTCCAAACTACTGAATGAAAAGAAAGGTTTAACTCTGAGATTAATGCACACATCACAAAAGAGTTTCTCAGAAATCTTCTTTCTAGAATACATCTGAATATCTTTTTTTTTTTACCTTAGGCTTAAATATGCTCCCCAATATCCCTTCACAGATTCTAGAAAAACAGTGTTTCTAAACTGCTGGATCACAGGAAAGTTTTAACTCTGTGAAATGACAGCACACATCACAAAGCAACTTCACAGAAAGCTTCTTTCTAATTTTTATCTGAAGATATTTTCTTTTTCATCATAGGCCTCAATGAGCTCCCAAATATCCCTTTGCATATTCTACAAAAACAATGTTTCTGAACTGCTGAATCAGAAGAAACGTTGGCCTCTGCAAGATGAATGCACACATCATAAAACGGTTTCCATATAGCTTTCCTTAATTTTTTATCCTGGGATATTCTCTTTTCACCATTGGCCTAAATGAGCTCCCAAATGTCCATTCACAGAATGGACCAAAACAGTGTTTCCAAACTACTGAATTAAGAGAAAGTTTGAACACTGTGAGATGAATGCACACACATAAAAGTACTTTCTCAGAAAGTCTCTTTCTAATTTTTATCTGAATATACTTTGTTTTTCACTGTATGCTGCATTGTACTCCCAAATATACCTTCGCAGATTCTACAAAAACAGTGTTTCCAAACTTCTGAATTGAAAGTAAGGATTAACTCTGCAAGACAAATGAACAATCACAAAGCAGTTTCTCATAAAGCTACTTTCTAGGGTTTATCTGAATATTTTCTTTTTCACCATATACCTCAATGTACCCTAAAATATCCCTTCACAGATTCTCCAAAAACAGTGTTTCCAAACAGCTGAATGAAAAGAAAGTTTTCACTCTGTGAGATGAATGCATGCATTAGAAAGTGGTTTCTCAGATAGCTTTCTTCTAGTATTTATCCTGGGATATTCTCTTTTTCACTATGGGCCTTAATGACCTCCAACTGTCCATTGTAGAATGGTCAAAAATAGTTTTCAAAGTGCTGAAAAAAAGAATTCTTTACATCTGGGAGATTAATGCACACATTGCAAAACATTTCTCAGCAAGCTTCTTTCTACTTTTTATCTGAGTATATTTTGTTTTTCACCATAAGTGTCAATGTGCTTCCAAGTATCCCTTCACAGATTATATAAAAACAGTGTTTCCAAACTTCTGAATCCAAAGAAAGGATTAACTCTGTGAGATCAATGCACATATTTCATAGATTTTCTCAGAAAGTTCCTTTCTATTTGATATCTGAAGATATTTTGTTTTTCAAGTAGACTTCATTGTGCTCCCAAATATACCTTCACAGATTCTGCAAAAACAGTGTTTCAAAACTGCAGAATTCAAAGAAAAGTTTAACTCTGTGAGACGAATACACAAGACAAAAAGCATTTTCTCAGATAGATTCCTTCTCATTTTTATCCTGGGATATTTGCTTTTATGCCATTGGCCTCAATGGGCTCCAAAATGTCCATTAGCAGAGTGGAAAAAAACAGCGTTTCCAAACTGCTAAGTCAAAACTAAGGTTTAACTCTGTGAGACAAATGCACACATCACAAAGCAGTTTCTCAGAAAGCTTGTTTCTAGTTTTTATCTGAAGATATTTTCTTTTTCTCCAAAGGCCTGAATGGGCTAGCAAATATCCCTTCACAGATTCTACAGAAACAATTTTACCAAACTGCTGAGTGAAAAGAATGGTTTGACTCTGTTAGATGAATTCACACATCACAAAATGGTTACTCAGATACCTTCCTTCTAGTTTTATCCTGTGATATTTCCTTTTTCACAATTGGCCTCAATGAGTTCCCAAATATCCATTCGCAGAATCGACAAAAACAGTGTTTCCAAACTGCTGAATCAACAGAAATTTTAACTCTGTGGAATGAATGCATACATCACAAAGGAGTTTCTCAGAAAGCTACTTTCTAGTTTCTATCGGAAAATATTTTCTTTTTCACCATAGGCCTCAAAGCACTCCCAAATACGCCTTTGGAAATTCTAGAAAAAGAGTGAATTCCAAACTGCTGAATCAAAAGAAAGTTTTAACTGTGTGAGATGAATACACACACTAAAAAGCACTTTCTCAGAAAGCTTCTATCTAATTTTATCTTACGATTTTCTCTTTTTCACCATAGGCCTCAATGCTCTCTGAAATGTCTCTTCACAGATTCTAAAAAAACAGTGTTTCCAAATCTCTGAATCAAAGGAAAACTTAACTCTTTGAGATGAATGCACACATCAAAAAGCACTTTTTCAGAAAGTTTGTGTCTATTTTTTATCTGAAGGTATTTTCCTTTTGAACACAGGCCTCAATGCACTCCCAAATATCCCTTTGCAGATTCTACGAAATCAGTGTTTCCAAACTTCTGAATGAAAAGAACCATTTAACTCTGCAAGATGAATGCACACATCACAAAGTGGTTTCTCAGATAGCTTCCTTCTAGTTTTTATCCTGGGGTACTTGCTTTTAAACCATTGTCCTCAATAATCTCCCAAATATCCATTCACAGAATGGACAAAAACAGGGTTTCCAAACTGCTGAATCAAAAGAAAGAATTAACTCTGTGAGATCTGTGAAATGAATGCACACATCAAAAAGCCGTTTCTCAGAGGGCTTCCTTCTAGTTTTTATCCTGGGATATTCACTTTTTTGCCATTGGAATCAAGGAGCTCAGAGTTCGCAAATATCCATTTGCTAAATGGACAAAAAGAGTGTTTCCAAATTGCTGAATCAAAAGAAATTTTTAACTCTCTGAGGTGAATTCACACTTAACAAAGCAGTTTCTCAGAAAGCTTCTTTATATTTTTTATCTGAAGATGTTTCCTTTTTCACCATAGGCCTCAATCTGCTCCAAAATATCCCTTCTCAGATTCCACAAAAACAGTGTTTCCAAATTGCTGAGTGAAAAGAAAGGTTTAACTCTGTGAGATGAATGAATGTGAGATGAACATATCACAAAGCAGGTTCTTAGATGGATTCCTGCCAGTTTTTATCATGGGATATTCACTTTTTTGCTATTGGCCTCATTGAGTTCCCAAATGTCCATTCGCAGAATGGACAAAAAAGGTGTTTCCAAACTGCTGAATTAAAAGAAGGATTTAACTCTGTGGTATGAATGCACACATCACAAAGCAATTTCTCAGAAATTTTCTTTCTAGTTTTATCTAAACATATTAACTTTTTCCCCATAGACCTGAAGGTGCTCCCAAATATCCCTTTGAAGTTTCTACAAAAACAGTGTCTCCAAAATTCTGAATCAAAAGAAAGGTTTAAATCTGGAGATGAATGCACACATCAGAAGGCAGTTTCTCATAATGTTTCCTTGTCGTTTATATCTGAAGATTTGTTCTTTTTCAACATATGGCTCAATGCACTCCCAAATATCCCTTCACAGATTATACAAAAGCAGTGTTTCCAAACTGCTTAATGAAAACATCCAAAGGGGTTTCTCAGATAGCTTCCTTCAAGTTTTTATCCGTGGATATTTGCTTTTTCATGAATGGCCTTGATGAGCTAAAAACGTCCACTCATGGAATGGACAAAAACCATGTTTACAAACTGCTGCATCAAGAGAAAATTTTAACTTTGTGAGATGAATACACACATCAGAAAGCAGGTGCTCAGAAAGATGCTTTTTAGTTTCTATCTTAAGATATTTTATTTTTCACCATATTACTAAAAGCACTCTCAAAGTCCCTTTGCAGATTCTAAAAAACAGTGTTTCCAAACCTCTGATACAAAATGAATGTTTAACACTGTGAGATGAATACACACATCACAAAGCAGTTTCTCTGAAAGCTTCGTTCCTGTTTTAATCTGAAGATATTTTCTTTTTCACCATAGGCCTCAAAGAGCTCCAAATATCCATTCACAGATCCTACAAAAACTGTGTTTCCAAGTTGTGGAATGAAAAGAACTTTTTAACTCTATTAGATGAATGCACACATCACAAAGCAGTTTCTGAGATCACTTCTTTCAGTTTTCATCCTGGGATATTAGCTTTTTCACCACTGGCCTCAATGAGATCACAAATGTCCATTCTCAGAACGAACCAAAACAGAGTTTTCAAACTGCTGAATTGGTTAAAATCTGTGAGACAAATGCATACCTCACAGAGCAGTTTCTCTGAGAGTTTCTTTCTACTTTTTATCTGAAGATATTTTCTTTTTTGCCATAGGCCTCAATGTGCTCCCAAATATCCCTTTGCAGATTCTACAAAAACAGCATTTCTAAACTGCTGAATGAAAAGAAACCTTTAACTCTGTGAAATAAATGCACACATCACAAAGTGGTTTCTCAGATAGCTTCCTTCAAGTTTTTATATTGGGATATTTCCTTTTTCACCATTGGCCTCAACGAGCTCCCAAGTGTGCACTCACAGAATGGACAAAAACCGCGTTTCCAATCTGCTGAATCAAAAGAAAGGTTTACCTCTGTGAGATGAATGCACACATCACAAAGCAGTTTCTCAGAAAGCTTCCATCTAGTTTTTAACTGAAAAATACTTCCTTCTTAATTATAGGCCTCAATTCACTCCCAAATATTCCTTTGAAGTTTCTACAAAACAGTGTTTCTGAACCTTTGAATGAAACGAAAATTTTATCTCTGTGAGATGAATGCCCACATCACAAAGCAGTTTCTTAGAAAGTTTCTTTCCAGTTTTTATCTGAAGATATTTCCTTTTTCCCCATAGGCCTCAATGCGCTCCCAAATATCCCTTCTCAGTTTCTACAAAAACAGTGTCTCCAAGCTGCTGAGTTCCAAAAATGGTTTAACTCTGTGAGATGAATGCATATGTCACAAAGCTCTTTCACAGAAAGTTTCTTTCGATTTTTTATCTGAAGAAGTTTCCTTTTTCACCATACGCCACAATGTTCTCCCAAATATTCCTTTGCAGATTATACAAAAACAGTGTTTCCAAACTGCTGAATGAAAAAAAAGGTTTAACTCTGTGAGATTAATGTACACATCACAAAAGGGTTTCTCAGTTAGCTTTCTTCTAGTTTTAATCAGGGGATAAGCTTTCTGTCACCATTGCCCTCAATGAGCTCCAAATGTTCACTTGCAAAATGCACAAAAACAGGGTTTCCAAACTACTGGATCCAAAGAAATGTTTAACACTGTGAGGTGAATGCACAACATCACATAGAATTTTCTCAGAAAGTTTTTTCTTCTTTTTATCTGAAGATATTTCCTTTTTCACCATAGGCCTCAACGCGCTCAGAGACATCCCATCGCAGATTTTACAAAAATAGTGTTTCTGAACTGTTGAATGAAAACAAATGTTTACCTCTGTGAGATGAATGCACACACCAAAAAGTAGTTTCTCAGAAGACTTCCTTCTGTTTTTTCTCCTGGGTTATTAGCTTTTTTGACATTGGCCTCAGTGAGCTTCCAAAAGTCCATTCACAGAATGGGCAAAAGCAGTGTTTCCAAACTGCCGGTTTGAGAGAAATATTTAACTGAGAGCTGAATGCACACATCACAAAGCAGTTTCTCAGAAAGCTTCGGTCTAGTTTTTATGTGTAGATGTTTCCTATTTCACTGTAGACCTCAATGAGCTGCAAAATGTCCATTCACAGAATGCACAAAAACTGTTTCCAAACTGCTGCATAAAAAGAAAGGTTTAACTCTGTGAGATGAATGCACACATCACAAAGTGGTTTATCACATAGATTCCTTCTAGTTTTTGTCCTGGGATATTAGCTTTATCACCATTGGCCTCAATGAGCTCCAAAATATCTATTCACAGAATGCACAAAAACAGTGTTTCCAAACTGCTCAATCAAAAGAAAGGTTTAACTCTGTGAGATGAATGCACACATCACAGAGCAGTTTCTCAGAGAGCTTCCTTCTGGTTTTTTATCATAGTATATTAGCTTTTTCACCATTGGCCTCAATGAGCTCCCAAATGACCATTCTCAGAATGGACAAAAGCACTGTTTCCAAACTGCTGAATCCAAAGAAAGTTTTATCTCTGTGAGTTAAACTTTACAAAGCAGTTTCTCAGAAAGCTTTTTTCTTGTTTTATCTGAAGATGTTTCCTTTTACCATAGGCTTCAATGCACTCACAAAGATCCCTTCCCACATTCTAAAAAAAAAACAGTGTTTCCGAACTGCTAAATGAAAAGAGAAGTTTATCTCCATGAGATTAATGCACACATCACATAGCAATTTCTCAGATAGCTTTCTTCTAGTTTGTATCATATGATATTTCCTTTTTCACCTTTGGCCTCAATGAGCTTGAAAATGTCGATTCCTAGAATGCACAAAGTACGCGTTTCCAAATTGCTGAATCCAAAAAATGGTTTAAATCTGAAAGATGAATGCACACATCACAAAACGGTTTTCCAAATAGTTTCTATCTAGTTTTTATCAGAAGATGTTTCCTTTTTCACCTTGCACCTTAATGCACTCTTTAATATCCCTTCACAGATCCTACAAAAACAGTGTTTCCAAACTGCTGAATGAAAAGAAAGTTTTAACTCTGTGAGATGAAAGCAGACATCACAAAGTGGTTTCTCACGGAGCTTCCTTCTAGTTTTTATCCTGGGATATTCGATTTTTTTGCAGTTGGCCTCAATGAGCTCCCAAATGTCCATTCACAGAATAGACAAAAACATATTTTCCAATCTGCTGAATCCAAAGACAGATTTAACTCTGTGAGATGAATGCACATATCACAAAGCAGATTCTCAGAAAGCTTCTTTCTAGTTTTAAGCTGAACGTGTTTTCTTTCTCACCATAGGCCTCAATGCCCTCCCAAATATCCCTTCACTGATTCCATAGAAACAGTGTCTCCAATGTGCTGAAAGAAAAGAGAATTTTATCTCTGCGAGATGAATGCACACATCACAAAGCAGTTTTTCAGATAGCTTCCTTCTAGTTTTTATCCTCGGATAAAACTTTTTGCCTTTGGCCTGTATGAGCTCCCAAATATCCATTGTGCGAATGGACAAAAAGAGTGTTTCTGAACTGCTGAATCAAAATAAATGTTGAACTCTGTGAGATGAATGCACACAACACAAAGTGGTTTCTCAGATAGCTTCCTTCCAGTTTTTATACTGGGATATTTGATTTTTTGCCATTGGCCTCAATGAGCTCCCAAGTGTCCATTCACAGAATGGACAAAAACAGTGTTTCCAAACTGCTGAAAAAAAAGAAATGTTTATCTCTTTGAGATGAATGGAGACATCACAAAGCAGTTTCTCAGAAAGCTTCTTTCTATTTTAAATCCGAAGTTGTTACCTTTTTCACCATAGGCCTCAGTTCACTCCCAAATATCACTTCGCAGATTCTATAAAACAGTGGTTCTAAACTGCAGAATGAAAAGAAATGTTTAACTCTGCGAAATGAATGCACACATCACAAAATGGTTCCTCAGATACCGTCCTACTTGTTTTATCCTGGGATATTCGCTTTTTCACAATTGGCCTCAATAAGCTCCCAAATATCCATTCACAGAATGGAAAAAAAACAGTGTTTCCCAACGACTGAATCCTAAGAAAGGTTTAACTCTGTGAGATGAATGCACACATCACAAAAAGAATTTCTCAGAAAGCTTCTTTCTAGTTTCTATCTGAAGACATTTTCTGAAGATATTTAGGAGGGCTTCAATGCCCTCCTAAATATCACTTCACAGTTTCTACAAAAACAGTGATTCCAAACTGCTCAATCAAAAGAATGGCTTAACTCTGTGAGATGAATGCACACATCAGAAAGCAGTTTCTAAGAAAGCTTCTTTCTAGGTTTTTTTCTGAAACTGTTTCTTTTTTCACCATAGGCCTCAGGGCACTATGAAATATCTCTTTGCAGATTCTACAAAAACAGTGTTTCCAAACTGCTGCATGAAAAGAAAGGTTTAACTCTCAGAGATGAATGCAAACATCACAAATCAGTTTCTCAGCTAGCTTCCTTCTACTTTTTATCATGGGATATTCACTTTTTTGCCATTGGCCTCAATTAGCTCCCAAATGTCGTGTCTCAGAATGGACAAAAATAGTGTTTCCAAAGTTATGAATCAAAAGAAAGGTTTACCTCTGTGAGTTGAATGCAGACATCACAAAGCAGCTTCTCAGAAAGCTTCTTTCTAGTTTTAGTCTGAAGAAGATTCATTTTTCACCATAGGCCACAATGCGCTCCAAAATATCCCTTTGCAGATTCTACAAAAACATTGATTCAAAACTTCTGAATTAAAAAAGATTTAACTGTGTGAGATGAATGCACACATCACAAAGCAGTTTCTCAGATAGCTTTCTTCTAGTTTTTCTCCTGGGATATTCTCTTTTTTGCCACTGGCCTCCAGGAGTTCCCAAATGTCCGTTTGCAGAATGGACAAAAACAGTGCTTCTAAACTGCTGAATCAAAAGAAAAGTTTAACTCTCTGAGATGAATGCACACATCACAAAGCAGTTCCTCTGAAAATTTCTTTATAGTTTTTTGTGAAGATAGTTTCTTTTTCACCATAAGCCTCAATGCACTCCCAAATATCCCTTCACATATTTTACAAAAACAGTGTTTCCAAACCTCTGAATGTAAAAAAAATTTAACTCTATGAGGGGAATGCAGCTATCACAAAGTGGTTTCTCGGATTCATTCCTTTCAGTTTTTATCTTGGGATACCCTCTTTTTTGCCATTGGCCTCAATGAGTTCCCTATATCCATTTGCAGAATGTACAAAAGCAGTGTTTCCAAACTGCTAACTCCAAAGACAGTTTTAACTCTGTTAGTTGAATGCACGCATCACAAATGTGTTTCACAGAAAGCTTCTTTCTAACTTTTATCTGAAGATGTTATCTTTTTCACCATAGGCCTCTCTTCGCTCCCAAATTTCCCTTCACAGATTCTACAAACACAGGATTTCTAAACTGTTGAATGAAAAGAAAGGTTTAACTCTGCCAAATGAGTGAACGCATCACAAAGCAGTATCTCAAAGAGCTTCCTTCTGTTTTTTTCCCCATTATATTCCCTTTTTCACCATTGACTTCTATGAGTTCCCAAATGTCAGTTTTCAGAATGGACAAAAACAGTGTTTCCCAACTGCTAAATTGAAGGAAAGGTTAAACCCTGTGAAATGAATGCACACATGACAAAGCAGTTTCTCAGAAAGCTTCTTTCTGGTTTCTATCTGTAGATTTTTCCTTTTTCACCAAAGGCTTCAATGTGCTCCAAAATATCCCTTCACAGTTTTTACAAAAATAGTGCTTATATAATGCTGAAGAAAAAGGAAGGCTTAAGTCTGTGAGAAGAAAGCACACATCACAAAGCAGTTTCTCAGATGGCTTCTTTCTAATTTTTATCTGAAGATGTTTCCCTTTTCACCATAGGGGTCACTGCTCTCCCAAATATTTCTTCGCATATTCTACAAAAACAGGTTTTGCAAACTGCTGAATGAAAAGAAAGGTTTAACTCTGTGAGATGAACACACACATCAAAATGTGGTTTCTCAGAGATGATCATTCTAGATTTTAAACTAGTATACTAGCTTTTTTGCCATTGGTCTCAGTGAGCACCCAAATGTCAAATGGCAGAATGGACAAAAAGAGTGTTTACAAACTGCTGAATCCAAAGGAAGTTTAAACTCTGTGAGATGAATGCACACATCACAAAGCAGTTTCTCAGAATGCTTCTTGTTTTTATCTGCAGATGTTTCCCTTTTCAACATGAGCCTTAATGTGCTCCCAATATCCATTCACAGATTCTACAAATATAGAGTTTCCAAACTGCTGAAGGAAAATAAAGGTTTAACTTTGCAAGAAGAATGCACACATCACAAAGCGGTTTCTGAGCTAGCTTCCTTCTACTTTTTATCCTGGGATATTCCCTTTTTCCCTGTCCGCCTCAATGAGCTCCCAAATGTCCATTCACAGAATGGACAAAAACAGCGTTTCCAAACTGCTGAATGAACATAAAGTTTTAAATATGGGAGATGAATTCACACATCACAAAGTAGTTTCTCAGAAAACGTCTTTCTAGTTTTTATCTGAAGATGTTTCCTTTTTCACCATAAGCCTCAATATGTGCCCAATTATCCCTTTGCAGATTCTGCAAAAACAGTGGTTAACAACTGTTGAATGAAAACAAAGATCTAATTCTGTGAGATCAAAGCACATATCACAAAGCAGTTTCGGAGATAGCTTCCTCTAGATTTTATCCTGGGATATACCCTTTTTCACATTTGGCCTCAATGAACTCCTAAATGAACATTCTCTTAATGGACAAATCAGTGTTTCCAAACTGCTGAAATCAAAGAGAATTTTAACTCTTTGAGATGAATACACACATCAGAATGCAGTTTCTCTGAAAGCATCTTTTTAGTTTTTATCTGAAGATGTTTCCTTTTTCACAACAGTCTACAATGCGCTCCTAAATGACCCTTCACAGATTCTACAAAAACAACGTTTCCAAACTGCTGAAGGAAAAGAAAATTTTAACTCTGCAAAATGAATGCACACATCACAAAGCACTGTCTCAGGTAACTTCCTTCTAGTTTTTATCCTGGGATATTCACTTTTTCACCACTGTTCTTAGGAGCACCCAAGTGTCCATTCACAGAATGGACAAAAAGAGTGTTTCCAAATTGCTGAATTAAAAGAAAGGTTTAACTCAGCGAGATGAGTGCACACATCACAAAGCGGTTTCTTAGATAGCTTTCTTCTAGTTTTTATCATGGGATATTCCGTTTTTTGCCATTGGCCTCAATGAACTTGCAAATGTCCATTTGCAGAATGGACAAAAACAGTGATTCCAAACTGCTGAATCCAATGAAAGGTTTAACTCTGTGAGATGAATGCATACATCCCAAAGCAGTCTCTCAAAAAGGTTCTTTCTAGTTTTTATCTAATTTGTTTCATTTTTCACCATAGGCCTCAATGCACTCCCAAAAATGTCCATTGAAAGAAAGGACAAAACCAGTGTTTCCAATCTGGTGAATAAAAAGAAGAGTTTAAATCTGTAAGATGAATGCACACTTCACAAAGCAGTTTCTCAGAAAGCTTCTTTCCAGTTGCTATCTGAAAATGTTTCCTTTTTCACCATAGTCCTCCATGTGCTCCCAAATATCCCTTTGCTGATCCTAGAAAAACAGTGTTCCAAACTGCTAAATGAAAAGAAAGATTTAACTCTGTGAGAGGAATTCACACATCACAAAGCAGTTTTCCATTTAGCTTGCTTCTAATTTTTATCCTGCAATATTCACTTTTTTGCCATTGGCCTCAATGACCTCCAAAATGTCCATTCGCAGAAAGGACAAAAAAATTGTTTCCAAACTGATGAATCCAAAAAAGTTTTAACTCCTGTGGGATGAATGCATACATCACAAAACAGTTTCTCAGAAAGCTTCTTTCTAATTTTTATCTGAAGATGTTTCCTTTTTAACAAAAGGCCTCAAATCACTCCCAAATATAGATTTGCAGGTTCTACAAAAATAGTGTTTCCAAACTGCTGAATGAAAAGAAAGTTTAACTCTGTGAGATGAATACAAACATTACAAAGCTTTTTCATAGGTAGCTTCCTTCTAGTTTTTATCATGGAATATTCAGTTTTTCACCTTTGGCCTCAATTAGCTACAAAATGTCCATTCGCAGAGTGGACGAAAACAGTGTTTCCAAACTGCTGAGCAAAAAGAAAGGTTTAACTCTTTGAGATAAATGCACTCATCACAAACCAGTTTCTCAGAAAGCTTCTTTCTAGTTTTTATATGAAGATGTTTCCTTTTTCTCCATAGGCCTCAATGTGATCCTAAATATCCCTTCACAGATTCTACCAAAACAGTATTTCCAAACTGCTGAATGGAAAGAAAGTTTAACTCTGCGAGATGAATACACATATCACAAAGGTGTTTCTCAGGTAGCTTCATTCTAGTTTTTATCATGGGATATTCACTTTTTTGCCTTTGGCCTCAATGATCTCCCAAATGTCCATTCTCAGTGTGGACAAAAACAGTGTTACTGCTGAATCCAAAGAAAAGTTTAACCCTGTGATATGAATGCACTCATCACACAGCAGTTTCTCTTCTCAGAAGGCTTCCTTCTAGTTTTTATTTCATCTCAAGACATTTCTTTTTCACCATAGGCCTCAATGCATGCTCAAATATCCCTTTGCAGATTCTAAAAAAACGGTGTTTCCAAACTGCTGAATGAAAAAGAAGGTTTAACTCTGTGAAATGAAAGCAAGCATTACAAACGCTTTCTCAGATAGCTTCCTTCTAGTTTTTATCCTGGGATATTCTCTTTCTGCCATTGGCTTCAATGAGCTCCCAAATGTCCATTCACAGAATGGACAAAAACAGTGTTTCCAAGCTACTGAAGCCAAAGAAAGTTTTAACTCAGTGAGATGAATGCACACATCACACAAAAGTTTCTCAGGAAGCTTCTTTCTAGTTTTTTTCAGAAGATTTTCCCTTTTTCACCATAGACCTCAATGGATTCCAAAATATCCCTTCAAAGATTCTTCAAAAACAGTGTTGCCAGACAGCTGAATGAAAAGAAAGTTTTAACTCTGCAAGATGAATGCACACATCATGGTCGTTTCTCAGATAGTTTGATTTTAGTTTTTATCCCTGGATATTCACTTTTTCAAAATTGGCCTCAATTAGATCAAAAATGTACATTCACAAAATTAAAAAAAAAACGTGGTTTCCAAACAGCTGAATTCAAATAAGTTTTAAGTCTGTGAGATGAGTGCACACATCACAAAGCAGTTTCTCAGAAATCTTCCTTCTTGTTTTTATCTGAAGATATTTCCTTTTTCACAATAGGCATCAATGCGCTCCAAAAAATCCCTTTGCAGATCCTATGTAAACAGTGTTTCCAAACTGCTGAATGAAAAGAAAGGTTTAACTCTGTGAGATGAATGCACACATCATATAGCGGTTTCTCAGATAGTTTGCTTCTTGTATTTATCCCTGGATATTCACTTTTTCACCATTGGCCTCAATGAGCTCCAAAAGTCCTTACACAAAATTAAAAAAAAAAAAAGTGTTTCCACCTTGCTGAATGAAAGGAAAGGTTTAACTCTGCAAGATGAATGCACACATCTCAAAGCGGTTTCTCAGATAGCTTCCTTCTCATTTTATCCTGGGATATTCCCTTTTTGGCAACTGGATTCAAAAAGCTCCCTATTGTCCATTCACAGAATGGACAAAAAGAGTGTTTCCAAACTGGTGAATCCAAAGAAAGGCTTAACTCTGTGAGATGATTGGACATATCACAAATGAGTTTCTCAGAAAGCTTCTTTCTAGTTTTTATCTGAAGGTGTTTCCTTTTTCAACATAGGGGTCAATGTGTGTCAAAATATCCCTAAGCAGATTCTACATAAACAGGGTTTCCAAATTGCTGAATGAAAAGAAAGATTTAACTCTGTGAGATGAATGCACACATCAAAATGTGGTTTCTCAGAGAATTTCCCTCTAGGTTTTTTCCTGTTGTACTCTGTTTTTTGTCATTGGCCTCAATGAGCACCCAAATGTCAATTGGTAAAGTGGACAAAAAGAGTGTTTCCAAACTGCTGAATCCAAAGAAAGGCTTAACACTGTGAGATGAATGCATTCACCACAAGGTAGTTTCTCAGAATGCTTCTTTCTTTTTTTATCTGAAGTAGTTTCCTTTTTCACCATTGGCCTCAATGCACTCCCAAATATCCCTTCACAGATTCTACAAAAACAGTGTTTCACAACTGCTGAAATAAAAGCAAGTTTTAACTCTTCAAGATGAATTCACTCATCGCAAAGCAGTTCCTCAGATAGCTTCCTTCTAGTTTTTATCCTGGGATACTTGCTTTTTCCCCATTGGCCTCAATGAGCTCCCAAATGTCCATTCCCAGAATGGACAAAAACTGTATTTCCAAACGGTTGAACAAAAAGAAAGTTTTAACTCTGTGAGGTGAATGTACATATCACAAAACAGTTTCTCAGAACTCTTCTTTCTAGTTTTTATCTGAAGATGTTTCCTTTTTCACCGTAGGCCTCAATGTGCTCCCAAATATCCTTTTGCAGATTCTACAAAAACAGTGTTTCCAAACTGCTAAATGAAAAGAAAGTTTTAACTCTATGTGATGAATGAACCCATCACAAAGTGGTTTCTCAGATAGCTCCCTTCTAGTTTTTATCCTGGGATACTCACTTTTTCACCATAGGCCTCAAAGGGCTCCCAAATGTCCATTCCCAGAATGGACAAAAACAGTGTTTCAAAACTGCTGAACCCAAAGAAAAGTTTAACTCTGTGACATGAATGCACACATCATAAAGCAGTTTCCCAGAAAGCTGCTTTCTTGTTTTTATCTGAAGATGTTTCCTTTTTCACCATAGGCCTCAATGTGTGTTCAAATATCCCTTTGCAGATTCTACAAAAATAGTGTTTGCAAACTGCTGAACGAAAAGTATGTTTTAACTCTGTAAGATGAATGCACATATTACAAATGATTTCGCAGATAGATTCCTTCTAGTTTTAATCCTGGGATATTCGCTTTCCACCATTGGCCTCAATGAGCTCCCAAATGGTTGTTTCCTAACTGCTGAATCCAAAGAAATGTTTACCTCCATGAGATGAATGAAGACATCACAAAGCAGTTTCTCAGAAAGCTTCTTTCTAGTTCTTATCTGAAGATTTTTCCTTTTTCACCATAGGACTCAATGCTCTCCAAAATATCCCTTCAAAGATTCTACAGAAACAGTGTTTCCAGACAGTTGAATGAAAAGAAAGGTTTAACTCTGTCAGATGAATGCACACATCACAGTGGTTTCTCAGGTAGTTTGCTTCTAGTTTTTATCCCTGGATATTCGCTTTTTCACCATTGGCCTCAATGAGCTCCAAAATGTCCATTCTCAGAATGTAAAAAAACAGTGTTTCCAAACAGCTGAATTCAAAAAAATGTTTTAAGGCTGTGAGATGAATGCACACATCACAAAGCAGTTTCTCAGAAAGCTTTGTTATAGTTTTTATCTGAAGATGTTTCCTTTTTCACCATAGGACTCAATGTGTTCCCAAATATACCTTTGCAGATTCTACAAAAAGAGTGTTTTCAAACTGCTGAATGAAAGGAAAGTTTTAACTTTGAGAGACGAATGCACACATCACAAAGAGGTTTATCAGATAGCTTCTTTCCAGTTTTTATCCTGGGACATTTGCTTTTAAACCATTGGCCTCAATGAGCTCCAAAATGCCCATTCTCAGAATTTAAAAAGTGTTTCCAAACAGCTAAATTCAACAAAAGGTTTACGTCTCTGAGATAAATGCACACATCACAAAGCAGTTTCTCAGAAAGCTTCATTCTAGTTTTTATCTGAAGGTGTTTCCTTTTTCACCATAGGACTCCATGTGCTCCCAAATATACCTTAGCACATATTATGAAAACAGTGTTTCCAAACTGTTGAATTAAAAGAAAGGTTAAACTCTGAGAGATGAATGCACACAACACAAAGCAGTTTATCAGATCACTTCCTTCTAGTTTTTATCCTTAGATATTTGCTTTTTTGCCATTAGTCTCAATGAGCTCCCAAATGTACAATCACAGGCTGGACAACAACAGTGTTTCCAAACAGCTGAACCCAAAGAAAGTTTTAACTTGTGAGATGATTGCAAACATTGTAAAGCAGTTTCTCAAGAAGCTTCTTTCTAGTTTTTATCCGAAGATGTTTCCTTTTTCACCATAGGCCTCAATGTGTTCCCAAATATCGTGTGCAATTCCTACATACACAGTGTTAATGAACTGCTTTATGAAAAGAAAGGTTTAACTCTGTGAGATGACTGCCCACATCACAGAGTGGTTTCTCAGATAGCTTCCTTTTAGCTTTTATAAGGGGATATTCACTCTTTCACCACTGGCCTCAATGAGCTAACAGATATCCATTGGCATAACTGACAAAAAGAGTGTTTCCAAACTACTGAATGAAAAGAAAGTTTTAACACTGAAATGAATGCACATGTCACAAAGGAGTTTCTCAGAAAGCCTCTTTCTAGTTTTTATCTGGTGATGTTTCCTTTTTCAGTAAAAGACTTTATGTGCTCACAATATTCCTAGCAGATTCTACAAAACAGTGTTTCCAAACAGCTGATGGAAAAGAAAGGTTTACTTCTTCAAGATGAGTGCACACATCACAAAGCGGTTTCTCAGATAGCTTCCTTCGAGTTTTTATCTTCAGATATTGCCTTTGGCCTCAATGAGCTCCCAAATGTCCATTCACAGAATGAACAAAAACAGTGTTTCCAAACTGTTGAATACAAAGAAAGGCTTACATGTTTGAGATGAATGCACACATCACAAAGCCATTTCTCAGAAAGCTTCTTTTTAGTTTTTGTCTGAAGATGTTTCCTTTTTCACCATAGTCCTCAATGCATTTCCAATTATCTCTTTGCAGATTCTGCAAAAACAGTGGTTCCAAACTGCAGAATAAAAACAAATATTTAACTCAGCAAGATCAAAACACATATCAAAAAGCGGTTTCTCAGATAGATTCCTCTAGATTTTATCCTGGGATATACCCTTCTTTACCACTCACCGCAATGAACTCCCAAAAGTCCATTCTCAGAATGGACAAAAAGCAGTGTTTCAAATTGCTGAAATCAAACAAATTTTTAACTCTTTGTAATGAATGCACACTTCACAAAGCAGTTTCTCTGAAAGCATCTTTCTAGCTTTTATCTGAAGGTGTTCCCTTTTTCACAGTGGACCGCAATGCTCTCCTAAATGTCCCTTCACATATTCAACAAAAACAATGTTTCCAAACTGCTGAAGGAGAAGAAACTTTTCACTCTGCAAAATGAATGCACACATCAGGAAATGGTTTCTCACATAACTTACTTCTAGTTTTTATCCTGGGATATTCACTTTTTCACCATTGTCCTCAAGGAGCACCAAATTGTCCCTTCACACAATGGACAAAAATAGTATTTCCAAACAGCCCAATGAAAAGAAAGGTTTAATTCAGTGAGATAAATGCACATGTCACACAGCAGTTTCTCAGATATCTTCCTTCTAGTTTTTATCCTGAGATATTCACTTTTTCACCATTGGCCTCAATGAGCTCCCAAATGTCCATTCACAGAATGGACAAAGAAAGTGTTCCCAAACTGTTGAATCCAATGAAAGGTTTAGCTCTGAGATGAATGCACACAACACAAAGCAGTTTCACAAAAACTTCTTTCTAGTTTGCATATGAAGATATTTCCTTTTTCAACATAAGACTCAATGAACTCCCAAATACCCCTTCGCAGATTCTATAAAAACCGTGTTTCCAAACTACTGAATGAAAACAGAGATTTTAATCTGTGAAATGAATGCACATATCACAGTGCAGTTTCTCAGATAGATTCCTTCTAGTTCTTATCCTGGGATATTCACCTTTTAGCCATTGGCATCAATGATCTCCCAAACGTCTGTTCATACAATGGACATAAAGAGTGTTTCCAAACAGGTTAATCAAAAGAAGGGTGTACCTCTATGAGATGAATGTTCATACCACAAAGCAGTTTCTCAGAAAAGTTCTTTATAGTTTTTACTTGAAGATTTTTCCTTTTTCACCATAAGCCTCAATGTGTTCCCAAATATCCCTTCACAGATTCTATACAAACAGTGTTGCCAAACTGCTGGATCCAAAGAAAAGTTTAACTCTGTGATATGAATGCACACATCACAAAGCAGTTCCTCAGAAAGTTTCATTGTTGTTTTTATCTGAAGATGTTTTATTTTTCACCATAGGCCTCAATGCACTCCAAAATATCCCTTCAAAAATTCTTAAAAAACAGTTTTTCCAAACTGCTGAATGAAAAGAAAGGTTTAACTCCACGAGATGAATGTACACATAACAAAGCAGTTTCACAAATAGGTTCCTTCTAGTTTTTATCCTGGGATATTCACTTTTTCGCTATGACCTCAATGCACTCCCAAATGTCCATTTGCACAAAGGACAAAAACAGTGTTTCAAAACTGCTGAATTGAAAGAAATGTTTAACTCTGTGAGATGAATGAACACATTGCAAAGCAGTTTCTCAGAAAGCTCCTTTCTAGTTTTTATCTGGAGTTGTTTCCTTTTCAATCTAGGCCTCAATCAGCTCCCAAATATCCCTTCCCAGATTTTTCAAAAGCAGTGTTTCCAAACTGCTTAATGAAAACAAAGGTTTAACTCTGCTTCACCATTTTCCTCAATGAGCTCCCAAAAGTCCATACTCAGAATGGACAAAAAGAGTGTTTCCAAGCTTCTGAATCAAAAAAAGGTTTAACTCTGTGAGATGAATGCACACATCACAAATCAGTTTCTCAGAAAGCTTCTTTTAGTTTATATCTGAAGATGTTTCCTTTTTCACCATAGTCCTCAATGTGCTCCCAAATATCCACTTGCAGATTCTACCACAACTGTGTTTCCAAACTCCTCCATAAAAGGAAAGCTTTAAATCTGTGACATGAGTGCACCAATCACAAAGCAGTTTCTTAGAAAGCTTCTTTCTAGTTTTTCCCTGAAGATATTTCCTTTTTCACTATAGGCCCCAATGAGCCCCATATCCCTTTGCATAGTCTACACAAACATTGTTTCCAAAATGCTCTATCAAAATTATTTTTTAACTCTATGAGATGAATGCACACATCACAAAGCAGTGTTGCAGAAAGATTCTTTCTGGTTTTTCTCTTAAAATATCTCCTTTCTCACCACAGGCCTAAATGTGCACCCAAATATTCCTTGGCAGATTCTACAAAAATAGTATTTTCAAACTGCTGCATCAAATGAAAGCTTTAACTCTGTGAGACAAATGCACACATCACAAAGCAGTTTCTCAGAAAGCAGTGTCTAAGAAAGCTTATTCTAGTTTTAATCTGAAGATATTTACTTTTTCACCACAGGAATACATGCCCTCCTTAATATCCTTTTGCAGATTCTACAAAAACTGTGTTTCCAAACTGCTCAATCAAAAGAACTGTTTAACTCTGAGATGAATGTACACATCACAAAGTACTTACTCAGAAAGAGTCTTTCTTGTTTTTCTCTCAAGATATTTCCTTTTTCAACCTGGGACTGAATGCACAACAAACTATCCCTTCACAGATTGTACAAGAACAGTGTTTCCAAACTGCACAATCAAAAGAAAGATTTGAGTCTGTGAGATGAATGCACACATTACAAAGTCGTTTCTCAGAAAGCTTTTCTAGTTTTTATCTGAAGATATTTCCTTTTTCACAATAGGCCTCAAACCGCTCACAAATATCCCTTTGCAGATTCTACAAAAAGACTGTTTCCAAACTGCTCAATCAAAAGTAAGGTTCAACTCTGTGAGATGAATGCACACATTAAAAAGAATGAAGGCACACATCACAAAGCAGTTTCTCAGAAAGATTCTTTCTAGTTTTTATCTGATTCTACTTCCTTTTCGACCTTAGACCTCAATGCACTACCAAACATCCCTTTGTATATTCCACTAAAACAGTGTTTCCAGACTGCCCAATCAAAAGAAACTTTTAACATTGTGAGATGAAGGCACACATCATAATGCAGTTTCCTGGAAAGCTTCTTTCTTGTTTTCCTCTGAAGGTATTTCCTTTTTCACCATAGGCTTCATTGTGTTCCCAAATATCCCTTCGCAGATTATACAAAAACAGTGTCTACAAATTGCCCCATCAAAAGAAAAGCTTAACTGTGTGAGATGAATGCACACATCACAAATCATTTTCTCAGAAAGAGTCTTTGTAGTTTTTGTCAAGATATTTCCTTTTTGACCACAGGCCTCAATGCACTCCAAAGTATCCTTTTGCAGATTCTACAAAAACAGTGTTTCCAAACTGTTCCATCAAAAGAAAGATTTAATTCTGTGAGATGAATGCACACATCACAAAGCAGTATCTCCGAAAGCTTCTTTCCAGTTTTTATCTGAAGATATTTACTTTTTCACCATAGGCCTCAATGCGCTCCCAAATATCCCTACACAGATTCTACCAAAACAATGTTTCCAAACTGCTCAATCAAAGGAAAGCTTTCAATCTGCAAGATGAATGCACACCTCTCAAAGCAGTTTCTAAGAAAGCTTCTTTCTAGTTTTTCTCTGAAGATATTTTCTTTTTCACCATAGGCCTCAATTCACTCCCAAGTACCCCTTCACAGATTCTACAAAAAGAGGGTTTCCAAACTGCTCAAAAAAAGAAAGGTTTATGTCTGTGATATGAATGCACACATCCAAAGCAATTTCTCTGAAAGTTTATTTCTTATTTTCTTCTGAAGATATTTCCTTTTTCACCATAGGTCTTGATGCACTCCCAAACATGCCTTCACTGATTCTACAAAAACAGTGTTTCCAAAGTGCTCCTTCAAACAAAATGTTTAACTCTGTGAGATGAATTCACACATCACAAAGCATTTTCTCATTAAGCTGCATTCAACTTTTTGTCCGAAGATATATTCTTTTTCCCCATAATACTCAATTTGCTCCCAAATATCCCTTTGCAGAATCTACAAAAACCGTATTTCCAAACTGCTCCATAGAAAGAAAGGTTTAATTCTGTGAAATGTATGCAAACATCACAAAGCAGTTTCTCAGAAGGCTTCTTTCCAGATTTTCTCCTTAGATATTTCCTTTTTGACCATAGGCCTCAATGTGCTCCCAAATATCACATTGCAGATTCTAGAAAAACTTTGTTTCCAAACAGCTCCATAAAAAGAAAGATTTAACCCTGTGAGATGAATGCATGCAATACAAAGTAGTTTCTCAGAAAGATTCTTTGTAGTTTTAATCTGAAGGTATTTATTTTTCAACATAAGCTTCAAAGTGCTCCCAAAAATCCATTTGCAGATTCTACGAAAACATTGTTTCCAAAGAGCTCCATCAGAAGAAATGTATACCTCTGAGAGATGAATGCCCACATCACAAATCAGTTTCTGAGAAAGCTTCTTTCTAGTTTTTATGTAAAATATTTCATTTTGACAATAGGCCTCAATGTATTCCCAAATACACCATTGCAGATTTTACAAAAACAGCATTTGCAAACACCTACATCAAAAGAAACATTTACGTATGTGAGAAGAATCCATATATCACAAAGCAGATTCTCAGAAAGCTTCTTTCTACGTTTTTATCTGAAGATATTTCCTTTTTCACCAGAGGCCTCAATG